>NW_015148967.1:157805-315610 GCF_000001405.40 Homo sapiens | reverse complement strand
AATTCAAGATGAGATTTGAAAGGGGACAAAGCCAAAGCATATCATTCCGCCCCAGTCCCTTCCAAATCTCATGTTCCTTTCACATTTCAAAATCAATCATGCCTTCCCAATGGTCTCCCAAAGTCTTACTTTATTTCAGCATTAATTCCACAGTCCACAGTCTAAAGTCTAATCCAAGTCAGGGCAAGTCCCTTCTGCCTATGAGCCTGTAAAATTAAAAGCAAGGTAGTTACTTTTTTGATACAATGGGGCTACAGGCATTAGGTAAATACAGCCATTCCAAATGGGAGAAATTGGCGAAAACAAAGGGGCTACAGGTCCCATGCAAGTCCAAAATCAAATCTTAAAGCTCCAATATGATCTCCTTTGATTCCGTGTCTCACATCCAGGCCACGCTGAATTAAACTGAAATAGTTACTAGAATGAGCACCACATATTTAATCAGTAATAGATGAAATTAACTTGTCTTAAATTATATAGTTTTAGAAATTATAATGGTGTGAATATTGATTGATTCATATTATTATATTGATTTAATGTCTTCTATGAAATTCATAGAGCAATAACATTTTTATTATTTTAAAGTTAATAGAAACCCGTTTAATCTAGAAAAACAATTTTTAAGATATATTTATCTGGCTATGTTTGACATTAATGAATTACTGCTTTAGGCATTTTCTTTAAGAGCTACTGGAAGTGCCCTTTTTCTAGTGTCAAAAAATATCAATGTGCTCATTTGAATGTTATTAAATGTGTTTTAAGTATATACTTGATTAATGGTTTCAAATAGTAAGAAATGATTTTATAATGAATAGTCTTGCAAGAAATACATCAACAATCAAGTTAAGAATTTCTAAATTTAATTTTTTACAAATTGTTTTTTAAACACTTCTTGTTTGATTCTCCTTTCGCATTAACTTGTACAAAGCTCTTTGCTAAACTTGTAAGGAGACCATCGGTTTGATAGGAGCAGCATTGCATCATGGGCAAAAACATTAAATCTGGAGGCACACTGTCTAGTATTAAACCCCAGCTCCAAACTTACTCAACTCTCTGCTATGTCTATATTTAACTTCCTCATAGTATTGCTGTCATAAATAAATAATGCATTACATGTGCTTACAAAAATACTCAGTGCATATCAAAGAATATGTATGTACTAGCTAAATCTTAATTTTGATAAGAAAGATGTTTGAAATACAGATATGCTTGAGAAATAAAGGCATTAAAGTTTACCTTCAGAAATACTAAAGGCTTGACTGATACCAAAATACTTGAATGATTCTTGTGATATATAGAAAGATCTAGATTAGAGTCAGAATACCTAAATTCTAATAACCCTATTATTTATATGTTATATGATTTTAATAAATCATATCTCTTCTTTACTCTAAAACAAACGCAAGCATGTTGAGCCTAAATCATAGGATTGAAAAAATTTAATGGAATAATTTAAACAAGTTGTTTTAGAAATTCATACTCATTCACCCACAAAGTGAGAGACCAGACTTCAGTTTCTGCAAGGAGATTCTGGAACCTAGGGCTGGATATGAGAGTGAGTGGGCCTACCTTATGGTTAGCCTTAGGACAAAAAGTCCAATCAGATGTCAGGATAAGCTGAAGCCACATATACAGGACAGGCAGGTGGAGAAAAAGGACATGATTACAAAAGATGGGTCTGCAAAGGGCAGGCAAGGTGAAACATACAGGTTTCAATAAGTAGGAGAGCCTGAAAAAGAGAAGACTTTTAAAAGTCCATGAATAGAGAGAGAATGCTTAATGTACTAAAAGAGTCAGCCAGCACACTCTAAAGCACCCTCTAAGTGTAAGTCTTAGGCATTAAATAGTGTCTCCCACCCAAAGATGTCCAAGGTAGACATTAATTGTTCTGTTTAGAGTTTTAGATGAAGTAACTACTGTTCCTTCACATTGATTCCCTCCTACAAAAGACAATATTTAGCAGTAAAAAGAGGATAAAATACTTTTCTGATAGGAAGATTTCTTTAACCGTAAGTTGTGATTCCATGTTCTTTTTTGCCAACTCCTCCTTTAGGCACTTACGTTGTAGTAGAAGCAGAAGCAGCATTTGACGCTGGGGTTTTCAGCTGATTCGGGGTGATTTTTTTCACAATAGTGGCACTATCAAAATCTTACGAGATTCATCATACTTTCAGTCGGTGGCTTTCTTCAGTTACCTATTACTGATACTGATGTTCTGTTTTTCTCATTTAGGCTAGGTTGCATTTACATTATTTTTTCTAGCAGGATCTGTCTTTCCACATCAGAGCTTGAGGGAGATATTTTCCAAATATAATACACGTATGTACATATATGTACATATATGTGTGCACACACACATACACACAGACAGTTCCTGACTTACAGTAGTTCAACTTAGTAATTTTTTGACCTTACAATGGTGACAAAGTGATATTCATTCAGTACAGTGGGCTTATGTTGAAATAAAGCTGTCCTATTGTAAGTAATCCAGGTACAATATTTTCAATTTAGGATGGGTTTATCGAGATGATAACTCTATCATAAATCGAGGAACTTCTGTATATATAACCCTTCTTTTCATGAAATTTCATGTTGACCCTCTTCTGTTGAGAGGTGAAAGGCACTATTTTTAGTTCTTACAATGAGTAGACTTTGTAACTACCTTGACCAATATATTGTGGTGAAAGTGATGGTATGTGATTTCTGAGGCTTCTATCTGCCTCTTTCTTGGACAAGTGTTTGTGGAGTCCTGAATTGGCATGTAGGAAATCGGGCTCTACTGAAACCACCATGCTGGAGAGACCACAGAAAGAGGCAAGCAGATATAGAGAGAGCTGGCTGAGGAAATTCAGGTGTTCTATCCTCCAGGTGTTCTCACATAGTCTCAGCATGTCTTCAGAGTATTCCAGCCCTATTCTCCCAGCCACCTTAGGTGATTCTGAGTACAGCAGAGATGAACGACTACATGCAAAATAAATGTTGTTTGAAGTCACTAAGTTATTGGCTTTATTATACAGCCCTAGTAACTGAGTTGGTGCTCTTTAGAGATTGATTGGTAGTATTGCAAGAAGTCCTGTATGTGTGGCAAAATAATACCAAATTTTTCACTCCAGTTTAACCATCTCTTATGAATCACTGAGGTAAGAGACCTTACTACTAAAGATTCTTCAGCTGAAGTTCATATTTACATGTGGCAATATTTATTTATCTTACATCTGAACATCTGCTTTCTCCTTTTTATGAATATTGTATGGAGAAGTATCAAACATGTATGTTTAAATTCTTCATTTATGTTTTTTACAAACTAGTAGAAATTTTCAAATTTATTAGAATGTGTTTAACAGTAGCACTAATATATAAAATACTTTTGTTTAAATCATTTGAACCTGAGCATGAGGAAAGTTTATCCAGCTGTTATAGAAAACATTAACATAACTAAAATAATAGCATGTATCTCATGAGATAATGCATTTGTTTTGATATGCATTTTTTTCTGGATTAGGTCAGATTGGAATTTATCAATTTTCTTTTTCCTACCTTAGTATATAGTCCAACTATATGGTTTAAAAAAATTGCAAACTAAAACCCGAAATTAATATAACATAATTCAGTCAGCAATATAAATGTCACTTTTATTAAACAGTAAGCTGTTCAAATTGAGCTCCAACTTATATGCTAAATAGGACATTTTATTTTATGGGTACTTCCATGGTTATATTAAAACTTATTTATGTAAATCTCTAAGATATATTTGTAGATTTTATTAACACTACCTTTTAAATGATAAAATATCAACTTTTTTATGCTTTGAATAATTGGCCAAATTGAATGGAGAGCTCAAGTTAGATGATTTATGGAAATATAATTTTATACAGTTTCCTCCAGAGTTAATTTTCCTTTGGTCAGTTATGCATTACTAACTGAAACTTGGTGAAGCAACTTCAGATATACTGTACCTCAATATCTGGACATAGGTACATTTCTTTGGAGGAATAATCCAGCAAAACTTGAACAGGATCATACTGCAAACAACAGAGAAAGTCAATTCTTACCCTTATTTAAAGTATGATGAATCTGGAATATTGTGTTGGTTCTTAAAGTTTGACTACAAGAAAAATGTAAAGTAAAATTAAACAGAACTTATGATTAAAATTAAAAAAAGAATTTTCAAAGATATATTATTTGGTTACAATGTCAGAAAAAATTATATGTGCTATGGTTTGTTGATGCAATGGTAGAAACACTATAGTATAGTATTTCTTATACTCATAAAATATAACTGTGTCTATTTATTATGTACCAATCTAATCTATCATCTGTCTCTATTATTTAATCATCTATGTATGTATGTATGTATGCATGCATCAATCTTTGTATATTTAACATTCAAAAGAGAAATAACAATAAATAGACTTGTATAGAATGCTTTTCAATTTCTGCACTATCTCGATTTCTCATTAAACTAAAGTCAAAATTGATGAAGTATGTATTGTAAGTATTAAACAGAGAAGATTAAAATTCAAAGGAATTTAATGGCTTTGTCAAAGCTATACGTTGGCTGAATGCAAAATCTTGTATTGAACAAATGACTTCATTCATTACTCATTAATTAATTAAACACATACTGAGTATGATCCTGGAAGAAAAATTTGAAATATACATGGTCAAAATAGATTAGTATTTAGAATATATTAAGAAATTATTTAAATCAATAAGAAAAGTTTAAATAGCTCAAGAAAAATGGCATAAATAGGTATCTAAAAAAGGAGGTAATGGTATAGGCAAGAATATATGAAGAAATGTTTGTCCTTATTAGTGTTCAAAGAAATAAAATTGTAGCCACAATGGAATAATATTGTATACCCATTTTAATGAACAAAAAATGTATCACGAATAACAAATCTGACAATAAGAAATGTTTGGGAAGATGCCAGTCTACCTGGATTCATTCTTTGTGAGAGTGAAAATTACATATTCAATTTGAAAAATTTTCGTAGTACAGTTTAGCATAATCATAATTATGAACTTATACATGTCCAACTTTTTAGCAATTTAACTTCTAGGTATATACTCAAAGGATATGATTTACATGTGTTCCATGAGATATGTGCATGATATTCATAGCTCAGTATTCTTAAAAGCAAATTCTGGGAAAAAAATCAAGCATTCAAAAACAAGATAATGATTTAAAATAATTTTTAAAGGCGTGCATTCACATAATTAAATAATACATCATTCAAAATGAATTAAAATATATGAAATTTTTAGCAAATAAATACTCCTTCAGCAAATATAACACTCCTTTTGTGCATTTTATTGTATTTATTTATTTATTTTTAAATTTATTTATTTTTATTATTATTATACTTTAAGTTTTAGGGTACATGTGCACAATGTGCAGGTTAGTTACTTATGTATACATGTGCCATGCTGCTGTGCTGCACCCATTAACTCGTCATTTAGCATTAGGTATATCTCCTAATGTTATCTCTCCCCCCTCCCCCCACCCCACAGCAGTCCCCAGAGTGTGGTGTTCCCCTTCCTGTGTCTATGTGTTCTCATTGTTCAATTCCCATCTATGAGTGAGAACATGCGGTGTTTGGTTTTTTGGTCCTTGTGATAGTTTACTGAGAATGATGATTTCCAATTTCATCCGTGTCCCTACAAGGGGCATGAACTCATCATTTTTTATGGCTGCATAGTATTCCATAGTGTATATGTGCCACATTTTCTTAATCCAGTCTATCATTGTTGGACATTTGGGTTGGTTCCAAGTCTTTGCTATTGTGAATAATGCTGCAATAAACATACATGTGCATGTGTCTTTATAGCAGCATGATTTATAGTCCTTTGGGTATATACCCAGTAATGGGATGGCTGGGTCAAATGGTATTTCTAGTTCTAGATCCCTGAGGAATCGCCACACTGACTTCCACAATGGTTGAACTAGTTTACAGTCCCACCAACAGTGTAAAAGTGTTCCTATTTCTCCATATCCTCTCCAGCACCTGTTGTTTCCTGACTTTTTAATGATTGCCATTCTAACTGGTGTGAGATGGTGTCTCATTGTGGTTTTGATTTGCATTTCTCTGATGGCCAGTGATGATGAGCATTTTTTCATGTGTCTTTTGGCTGCATAAATGTCTTCTTTTGAGAAGTGTCTGTTCATATCCTTTGCCCACTTTTTGATGGGGTTGTTTGTTTTTTTCTTGTAAATTTGTTTGAGTTCATTGTAGATTCTGGATATTAGCCCTTTGTCAGATGAGTAGGTTGCAAAAATTTTCTCCCATTTTGTAGGTTGCCTGTTCACTCTGAAGGTAGTTTCTTTTGCTGTGCAGAAGCTCTTTAGTTTAATTAGATCCCATTTGTCAATTTTGGCTTTTGTTGCCATTGCTTTTGGTGTTTTAGACATGAAGTCCTTGCCCATGCCTATGTCCTGAATGGTAATGCCTAGGTTTTCTTCTAGGGTTTTTATGGTTTTAGGTCTAACGTTTAAGTCTTTAATCCATCTTGAATTAATTTTTGTATAAGGTGTAAGGAAGAGATCCAGTTTCAGCTTTCTACATATGGCTAGCCAGTTTTCCCAGCACCATTTATTAAATAGGGAATCCTTTCCCCATTGCTTGTTTTTCTCAGGTTTTTCAAAAATCAGAGAGTTGTAGATATGCGGCGTTATTTCTGAGGGCTCTGTTCTGTTCCACTGATCTATATCTCTGTTTTGGTACCAGTACCATGCTGTTTTGGTTACTGTAGCCTTGTAGTATAGTTTGAAGTCAGGTAGCATGATGCCTCCAGCTTTGTTCTTTTGGCTTAGGATTGACTTGGCGATGTGGGCTCTTTTTTGGTTCCATATGAACTTTAAAGTAGTTTTTTCCAATCCAGCAGCACATCAAAAAGCTTATCCACCATGATCAAGTCGGCTTCATCCCTGGGATGCAAGGCTGGTTCAATATATGCAAATCAGTAAATGTAATCCAGCATATAAACAGAACCAAAGACAAAAACCGCATGATTATCTCAATAGATGCAGAAAAGGCCTTTGACAAAATTCAACAACCCTTCATGCTAAAAACTCTCAATAAATTAGGTATTGATGGGTCGTATCTCAAAATAATAAGAGCTATCTATGACAAACTCACAGCCAATATCATACTGAATGGGCAAAAACTGGAAGCATTCCCTTTGAAAACTGGCACAAGACAGGGATGCCCTCTCTCACCACTCCTATTCAACATAGTGTTGTAAATTCTGGCCAGGGCAATCAGGGAGGAGAAGGAAATAAAGGGTATTCAATTAGGAAAAGAGGAAGTCAAGTTGTCCCTGTTTGCAGACGATATGATTGTATATCTAGAAAACCCCATTGTCTCAGCCCAAAATCTCCTTAAGCTGATAAGCAACTTCAGCAACGTCTCAGGATACAAAATCATTGTACAAAAATCACAAGCATTTTATACACCAATAACAGACAGAGAGCCAAATCATGAGTGAACTGCCATTCACAATTGCTTCAAAGAGAATAAAATACTTAGAAATCCAACTTACAAGGGACGTGAAGGACCTCTTCAAGGAGAACTACAAGCCACTGCTCAATGAAATAAAAGAGGATACAAACAAATGGAAGAACATTCCATGCTCATGGGTAGGAAGAATCAATATCGTGAAAATGGCCATACTGCCCAAGGTAATTTATAGATTCAATGCCATCCCCATCAAGCTACCAATGACTTTCTTCACAGAATTGGAAACACTACCTTTTGTTCTTTTTAATACTTTGTTTTTTATTTTTATTAATTGATATGAAGACATAGTGTCTGTTTACTGTATCCTGAAAAATGATCCAGACCTAACTGGAGGAAGTAGAACTTGTATTCCAAACCATAAAAATACAGCTACTAGAAACTGACACCCTTGTTATTCGTTCTAATTCTTTTAAGTCTATCTCAAAGAAATTTCATGTATTCTAAAGAAAATTAATGGCTTCATGTTGGAGGCCAAAAGATTAAGGGTCATGATGAACTGAGTATACCACTGGAGGTTATATAAGTAAGCAACAAGCTGTTTCTCATAAATGTATAATGTTGGCAGACTTGTAACAGGGTTTCTCGTTTGTCTGGTCGGTTTTAGTTTTTTCTGCTCCAGCAGACCTGCCTCGTTCAAGTTCCTATAGGACTCTATCTGTCCCTATCTTTTCTTGTCTGTCTTCTCTGCAAGTTTCTGCTAGTCTTTGCTAGTCTATGTTGACTTGTAATGGGGTTTCTTGTTCGTCTTGTTGGTTTCAGTTTTTTCTGGGCTTTAGTTTTTTCTGTTCCAGCAGAGCTTCATCGTTCAAATTCCTATAGGACCCTATCTGTCCCTACCTTTCCCTGTCTGTCCCTATGGTCCCTGTTAGTTCCTGCAAGTTCCTGCAAGTCCCTGTCTTTCTCTACCTATCTCTATTTGTCTCTGTTTATTTATTTATATTTATCCATACTTATCTCTATTTGTCCCTGCAGGCCTCTTCAGGTCCATTCAGGTCTCTTCAGGTCTGTGTTTCTCCCTGATTGTCCCTGTTTGGGTGCCACTTGTGACAGACTGCCATGGTTACTACTTGAGACCGTCATTACAGCAGTTACTACTGTTATTGCTTGAGACTGTCATTATAGCAGTTACTACTATTACTGCTTGAGACCATCATTACAAGACTGAACAAACAGATGAACGTAGAAATGAAAACTTAAGACAAAAGAAACTGTTTTAAAGGAAGGGGGGAAGGGGAAGAAGAGAGCTCCCTACTTCTAGTGAGCGAAGGCAGCTGCCGAGCTTCCACAAGCCTCGGTATTTATTGGGTAACAAGAGCAGGGAGGAGGAGGTAATGATTGGTCAGCTGGTTAATTGATCACAGGTTCATATTATTACCAACAGGCTTCAGATGCACCTAATCACAAGAAACATTGCACTTGGGGTGGGGTGTGACTGCCCTCAGCATTCCTTCTGGGTGGCAGATGCAGTTTGTCAGTCTGCCAACATTCTGCATTTATAAGAAACAGTTTGCTGCTTATTCATATAGCCTCCAGTGGTATGCTGAGTTGATCACGACCCTCAATCTTTTGGCCTCCAACAGCTTCACATATATCTATTTCCCAAGATAACAACTCTTAAGAATTTCTCCCAGTTTTTTTTCTCTTTTTGTATATTAGATTTTTTTAGAAGTAACTTAGAGAAAATTCCAGTTATCATGTTATTTCACCTTTTTATAGTCCATTTCACACAGTCTTATATAATCACAATGCCTTATAATTATTTACAAAGCTAATAATAATGCTTTGGTATAAATTAACATTTAATATATTTTTAAATTTTTATACTTGTCTGAAAATGTATTTTATACTTTTATTTTTTCCAGTCAGCATCCAAATTCTGCAGATTATATTTGGTTGTAATGTTATTTAACAGACCTTCAATCTAGAAAAACCTCCTTTGTTTTTATGCAAAAGTATAGGTGTAACAGAAGGAAAAAAGTATAAGATCATTTCAGTAGAGGCAGAACAACTTATGCAAGATAACTCAACAAAACTTCATAATAAAAACTGTAAGCAAATGACAGAAGAAAATTTATCAAAGCGATAAGGTATCTACGAGAAATCTACTGCAACATCAGAACAAATGTAGGGTGTATAAACATGAACAACAAAATAATTTTTACTCTACTTTTATTTAATATAATTCTGAAGAACTTAGCCTGTACAATAAACAATAAATTTTTAAAAAGAAAGAAATAATAAAGCTTTGATAAGAAGTAGTAAAACACTATATTTATATGTAGTAAACTGGGGGAAATCCTAGACTTTGAAAATTTAAATAAGCCTACAAAGGATTATTAGAGAACTACTAAGTAAATTTAGCAAGCTACGGAATGAGAAAATAATGTGTGTCTGTTAGAAATAAATAATTGGAAAAAATTAATTTAAAATAATTTAAGCTGACAACTACAAAACACTGCTGAGAAATTAAAATATATCTAAAGAAATGGAGAGAAGTACCATGTTTATGAATCAGATGTTTCAGTACTATTAAGACATCAATTATTTTCAACCAGAACTACAGGTTCAGCACAATCATAATCAAAATACCTGCAAATGACTCTCCTGGTAATGACGAAGTAACTGGCACCCAACTTGCCTACTGTTGAAAACAATTATAACACTGGACAAAATATACGAGGTAGTAATTTTCAAGCATCAAACTGCAAATATCAGAGGACTTTCACCTTGAAAGAAGGGAAATACACAAGGTGAGCCCAACATAGCCTCTCAATCATTCTTTCTTCCTAGTGAAACTGTCACACAATAGGACAGAGAGTGAGAAGCAAGGGGGTGGAGATTCCACCTTGTGGTTTGCCCTCTTTTAAGTCTCTCGTCTTTAATTGATCTTATTGAAATAGCTGGACCTCTTTAATTGATCTTATTGAAAGCAGCAAATGTGATAATGTTGCTTTTGTGATCAGGGTAAAAAGAATGGCTTGACCCAGCTAGCTGACTTTCTCTGTAGCCCTCTTGACTTGCACATTTTGATGAAACAATCTGCCATGTTGGAAAGACCCATAGGCCAAGGATGTGATGGCAGCAGCCCTCTGGCAACAACCAGCAAAAACTGAGACTCTCAGTTCAATAGCCTGAGAGGAAGTGAATCCTGCCAACAACTACATGAGCTTGGACATGAATTTTTCTACAGTTGAGACTTTGGATATCCTCAGCCAAATGACATCTTGATTGCAGTCTATGAGAGACTCTGAATCAGAGGATTCTGCTAAGCTTTTCCTAGGTACCAAACCCACAGAAGCAATAAGAAAATAAATATGTATTGTTTGAAGTTTCATGGTAATTTATATGCAGCAATATATGACTGATACAGCACTCAAGGGCACATGGGATAATCACCAAGATATATCATATTCTGAGCCATAAAAGTAACCTTAAAAAATTAAAATAATAGAAATCACATAAAGTATGTTGTCAGAAGTTAATAGAATTAAACTAGCAATTAATAACAGAAAGATATATAATACATCCCCAAATATTTTGACATTAAACAGTATATAAATCAAAGAGGAAATAGTCAAGGAAACTAAAACATTTTGAACTAAATGAAAATTAATATTTAGTGAATGAAATTTGTGGGATGCACCTAAAGCCATACTAAAAGAGCTGCCAGCTTGTGAAACCAAACCTGCGTTATACCAAATCCAGAGAAAGGTATTTCAAGAAAAAAAAGTCTACTACAAAGTAGTATCCCTCACAAGCACAGATGTAAAAGATCTTTAATAAAGCATTTTCAATATTATATATTGAATCCAATTATATGTAAAAAGAAAAACATGTTTTGTCAAATTATAATTTTCCTACAGCATGCTAGGAATTGAAAACTACAAAATGTTTCTTGAATAATTTAAATAATACATAAATAAATAATATACTGTATTGAAAGGCACTATAAAAATAGTGTCTTTTTCTTTGAGATGGATTGTTCTGCAGATTCAATCCAGTACTGGTTACATTTCTTAAAAGTTTTTTTACTTTAAACTGGAATGAAATGGCTATTAAATGGAATTTTATATGAAAAGGCAAAGGCTTTGAATGGCCAGGGTAATTGAGATAAAAAAGTTTAAAGTTGGATGATTTACTTATACTACTATAGTAGAAAAGTACTATAAAAACATGGTAATGAAAAATTTTTAGCATTGTTGTAAATTAGAAATACAGCTTAATAAAGTATACTAGAGTCTAGAATTTTGCTTTCCAATGTAGTACGCATCAGCCATAGTACGCATCAGCCACTTGTGGTTATTTAAGTTTATATTCAAATTTACCATCATTAAATTCAATTAAAAATTCATTTTCTTATTTGCACTGGCCATATTTCAAGTACTCAATTGCCACATGTGGCTAGTAGCTACATTACTAGACAGCAAAGATACAGATGAAGTCCACTCTCAGAGAAAATTCTGCTGGACAGAGTTTATTTACTAATACATTGACACATGATTATTTAATTTTTGACAAAGTTAACAAAGAAATTCAATAGAGGAAATGAACATCTTTCTAACAAATAAATGGTGCTCAAACAACTGGATATCCATTTGGGGAAAAAATGAATTGACTCCTCACACTGTGAAACAAAAAAATTGAGATAAATCCTAGCCATGAAAGTAAAAGCTAAACATGTTAACCACCTACCACAAAACCACAAGAAATGAAAAAAACAAAAAACACATACAAAAACACCACACACACAAACACAAACATATATGTATATGTATTCCAGGTTCCAGATCTAAATAAATAAATACATATAAATATATATATATATATATGTGTGTGTGTGTGTGTGTGTGTGTGTGTTCCAGGTTCCAAGATAAAAGTCCACTGTGTGTGTGTGTATATATATATATATACACACATATGCATAAATATATACGTGTGTATATATATATATACACATATGCATAAATATATACATGTGTATATATATATCACACATATATACACACATACTTTTATATATATATATTTTGATCTGGTACCTGGTACACACACACATATATGAATGGAAATATATATATATATATATATATATATATATATATATATATATATGCATTCCTAAAATATATGGTGTTCCATGTTCCAAGATAAAAGTCCACTCTGTGTGTGTGTGTGTGTATATATATATACACATGTATATACATACAAATACATATATTTTTTATATACATATGTGTATATATACACACATATATACGTATGCTTTTATATATATGTTTAGATCTGGTACCTGGAATACATACATATATGTGTGTGTGTGTATTTATATATATATATATATACACTGTATGTGCATATATATAATATATATAATTATAGATATATATAGACAGATACCACATATGATCTATAGATATTTACATTGATATTGATTTTTATATATATGATACATATTGAGGACTAGTAAGTAAAGTTGAATGCATAAGCAAATACTATCTATTTGGTGGTTGGAGAGTCTTGTTAGATAGACTTTCCTAAATTGGTCATGTTCTTAGGAAATGAAATTTAAGGAGAGACTTTTATCAAGTCAGGGAATTGCCATGCCAAGATCATGAGGAAAGAGCATTTCAGGAACAGGAATACTAAGTACCAAGGGCATGAAACAGAAAGGAGCTTAATATTCTAAAATATATATTCACACACAGTGGACTTTTATCTTGGAACCTAAACTGTTTCATTGAACACATTTTTAGGTTTATATTTATCTAGGAACCTAAAAACTTGTGGAATTCAACAATTTTTTAAAAAACGCAATAAATATGGGCCACAGACCTGAAATGATCTTTCACAAGGGAGACAAATCACCAACATACACTTGAAAAAATGTTCAACTTCATTAGAATAATCAAGGATAATTTCAATATAAACACACATGATGAGAGGCCACTAGACATCCACTAGAACGGTTAATGGAAAAGCGACAACATTGAATGATATTATCACTTTAGGAAAAGGTTATCAATTTCTTATAAAACTGTATATACTGTGGGCTGGGCGCGGTGGCTCACGCCTGTAATCCCAGCACTTTGGGAAGCAGAGGCGGATGGATCACGAGGTCAGGAGATCGAGATCATCCTGGCTAACACGGTGAAACCCCGTCTCTACTAAAAGTACAAAAAATTAGCTGGGAGTGGTGGCAGACGCCTGTAGTCCCAGCTACTCGGGAGGCTGAGGCAGGAGAATGTCGTGAACCCGGGAGGCGGAGCTTTCAGTGAGCGGAGATTAGGACACTGTAATCCAGCCTGGGCGACAGAGCGAGACTCCGTCTCAAAAAAAAAAAAAAAAAAATTGTATATACTGCTAATAAGCAGGTCTACTTGTATTTTTATAACTGCAATGAAACATTCCTCCACTAAATGACTTTATGCAAAAATAATTGTATCAACTTTACTTTTAATACTAAATAGCTGGAAACAATCCTAAAGACTGTCAATGGAATAAACTGTACACAATTGCACGTTATATTCATTCAGTGGATTATTACTCAGCAATACAATGGAACTAGCTACTGATATACTTACATCATGAATGTACCTCATAGATACTATCCTGAGTGAAGAAAAGCAAACGTAAAAGAGTGTAGCCGTGTTTATGTATGTGAAGTTCTGGCACAGACAAAAATAATTTGTGGTAAGAAACAAATAAAAAATATAGTGGTTATCTTTGGGGAGGTTTTACTGATTAGCAGCACCAGGACACTTTCTGAGTGCTATGAATACTCTTTATCTCAATAAGACTGTGGGCTACATGCATGTATGTATTTTTCAAATATCAGCAGAGTGTTTATTTAAGAATTGTACCTTTTCTTTATGTTATTTTTACCTAAACAAAGAAGATAAACAACTTTTAAATTCCAACTAGTTACAATTTTTAAACCTCTAATATAGGTTGGAAATTCTAAGAATACTTTCTCAGTATTCTAGGTCTGATAGTGACACCTAGGTTTATAATTTTTTGAGAGAGGCGTTATAAACACAGAAAGAAGTTAGAGTAGAATATACCCCAAATTATTATATTGATATCTGCATGAACTCAAGATATTTAACATGGATGATAGAGAGCTGTTAGACACTAGAGATAGAGAGAGAGAAGTAGATAAAGACATTGGATGGGTGTTCCCATACTTTTAGGAAGAAGATTCTGTATAGGGGTTGTGGGTATATTACTAGAAGGCTTTCTCTTATGTTGTTACCTCAAAAGTTTAAAATATGGTTAATCTGAAATAGCAGCCTTCATAGTTTTGTAATCTGCCTTCTCTGGAATCCTTGCTGACAAATAATTGAAATTTTACCTGCACCGAATCTACCCTATTGAATTTGTTTATATGTCACATTTTTCTTTAAAGTGTCTCTGTCCTATTGAACCCTTAGTGGGTCCCTCATTTTATTTCTCCCATCTCCTTCTTCCCATCTCCCTCTCCTTCTCTTTCTCCCTCTTCTCCCTCTCCAATTTCATTGTTAAACTCTGTACAGCTTACCGGAGATTCTCTTGGTGTGAGTATTGGTGGTTGATTTCTCTCACCCTGTGCTTTTAGGATCATCCAAACATTTCTTTATTTTCCCTCCACCACCTTTGTACACCTATTAATCTTGTATGGATCCTGATTTTTAATGTGTTTTGCCTCAAGCACTCTTAATCTAACACTCTCAGGATAACTTGCCACCTAGTTTTGTTGAAGATGTTCTTTGTGATTTTTTCTTTGGCTACTTACAGTCTGTCTGTTTTTATGAGGAGTTTTGGTGTATATTGAGAATTTTACCACAGTTATAAAATGGTACTGACTCTAAATAGGATATTCTAAATTTAAGAAAATTAACCATAACACAGAAATACTCAAAATAGATAGTTACCTCAGGTAAAGGAAAATGGGTAATTAAATGAGGAACACTGTACAAATAGATGTTATTGTCAAATTTTTGGTTTTTATGTTGGCATCTGATGAGTTTTTACTTTCCTAATACAATATTAAAAATAAGAAAATGCAATTATTAATCATTGATGAAACTGTGCTTTAAAAGAAGATTTGCAAATAAGCTTATTTTGTGTATTCAAAGTTGTAAAAAATAATCCTTAAAATGACAACAATTATATTTATTTTTGTAGAGATATTTTATGGTCATTATCCTATATGATTTAGGCTTTGGGAATAGAGTAGTGGATTTACAAATGTTTCTGTCTTTATGGAATTTAAATTTTACTGGGAAAGAGACAGATAAATAATTCAATAAGCATATATGTAATATATATCATACATGGTATATATATTTATCTATGTTTATCAGCATGTTATTGATATCATATATAGATATACATACATAGATAACATATGATATATAGATATTTACATTGATTTTGATTTATATATATATGATACATATTGAGGACTAGTAAGTAAAGTTGAATGTATAAGCAAGTACGATATACTTGGTGTGGAGAGTCATGTTAGATAGACTTTTGTAAATTGGTCATGTTCTTAGGAAATGAAATTTAAGGAGAGACTTTCATCAAGTCAGGGAATTGCCAGGCCAAGATCATGAGGAAAGAGCATTTCAGGAACAGGAATACTAAGTAGTAAGGGCATGAAACAGAAAGGAGCCTTAATATTCTAAAATATTAAGGCACAGAAAGAAATGCAAACTGGAGAGTGGCTGGAGAAAAAGTTAGCGGAAGTAGGCTGTTTCCACATCATGTAAAGCCCTGTATTCCATTTGGATTTTATCTTTAAAGTAAATATTTGAGTTTTATTCTGAAGTAGAAACAAATTGCTTAGCAGGATAGTGATAGGTCTGATTTTCATTTGGAAGATATCACACTGGTTATCTTTTAGACTTATAACTGTAGAGTTAGAAGCAGAGAAAATGATTTGGAAATTACTGTATTTATTAGGCATAGAATAACTGAACTGAAGGTGTTAACAGGAAAGGCAGTGATGAGTAGCTGTATTTGGTAAGTCTTTTTAAGACAGCACTCATAGATCTTGCTTACTGAATATGGTAATGGAAGAATAAATGAAGAAAACAATGACTTAAGCTTTAGGCTTGAGCAAATTGGCTAATAGAATTACCATTTACTGACTTAGAAAACATAGGAAAAGAACAGGTGAAAGGCAATGACAAAAATCACTAATTTAGTTCAGAACATGTTAAATTTGAACCATTTACTAATCAATCAACTAACCCCCATATCAGCTAGGTAGTTGAGTATTAGATTCTATCCTTAAGGGAGAAATCATTGATAGAGATGTTAATTTAAAAGACATTAGTGTACAGATGACATTTTAAGCCACCACTCACTTAGGGAGCAAGCGAAAAGAGAAAAGATCTGATAAATTAGTCCTGGGACATGCCAACATTTGGAAGATAGAAAGAGGAAAATAAGGCAGGAATGGAGAAGAAGAGGGAATAGCAATGAAAAAGAGGGAAAATGGGGAGAATTTGCTGTCCTTCTAGCCAGGATAATTAAAGTATTTCATGAAGGAGTAAGCAACTATTTCAAAATTTAGATTCTCTATGTATGACTTTCAATTTTAGTCTTAAAAAATAAATGTATTTACACATATTCTGCAGCTGTTCCCTTTATTTATGTTTGTTTTTGTGTTTGTGTCTTATTGTCAGTGGACAACAATTTTCTTCTTTGCTTTGGCTATCATTTAATGAAATGATTATACTAACACTTTAGTTGCACTTCGTGCTGTGGAATAGCTAGAAGAAATGGCTTGCCCTGGAATAAAGGATTTAAAAAATTATTGTTTATTGTGCATGGCTGGATTCCACAAATGCATTTGAATGTGGCAACAGTAGAGAGAGAATCATATAAATACATCATCTGAAATAATGTCATCTAGGCAAAGGCATCTGTAGGAACTCAGCTTAGAGTAAATGGGCAAATTGGGAGGGGGGAACATAACATTTGAAATGGGCAATAATTCATCTGCACTTAGTCTTTCTGTGCAGAAAAAGCAATCTATGTTTTGATGTATTTTCAGATACGATGATAGCATGTAAACAAGGAGATCAACAAGACTCAGAGTTCTATTTCTGGAATGGTTATAAATTTTATATTTGACACATAAGAAAATATTGGAGATGAAGCTTGGAGTACTTGGAGAGGAGCTTGTCATCATTATCACAACAAATTTTTATCTATTAATATGAATTTATTAGGTGCTTAATCAATGCTTAATGTTGAGTGAATCATTAATGAAGCATACTTAATGTAATACAGCTACTTCTAGACATAAGTGAGAGACACCATATGTGTACTAGCAGAATTACTAAAGAAGTTA
Source organism: Homo sapiens (assembly GCF_000001405.40). Taxonomy (NCBI): domain Eukaryota; kingdom Metazoa; phylum Chordata; class Mammalia; order Primates; family Hominidae; genus Homo; species Homo sapiens. The sequence continues at coordinate 297,745 of NW_015148967.1, read as the reverse complement.
CAGATTACAATTGTCAAATATATTTAAAATATTTTCTTTGGTTATCTGGCATAAACTAGAAAATCTGCACACAGCTTAATCAGCTATATACTGAAAACTAGGAAGACAAAAGAGGCACTTGGTAGCAACTTTTAGGTTCAATAATGATATTAACACATTCAAATACGGACCTAAGGACCAGTTTTGAAAGGTGCATAGGATATTAAAACATTTAAGATATTTACTGACACATTACTGTTTTTTATTTTCAGGCTCAGCACATTGGAGGTTTTATTTCTTCTCTAGTAGATTATCAATACTAATGTCTCACACTTTATATTTTATCAGACTTTAACAGAGACAAATAAAACAGGTAAGGTTATTGCCTAAATAATACAGCCTGACTTAATGTCATGTGCATGTTTGGTTTGTATAATTAGCCCTGTTTTCCTAAAATGAAATATTATTTTTCACTTTGTTTTTAACCAATTTACAAGTCATATTGTAAGATTTAGGGTACAGACCAATATGCTATGAAAAAGATTATCCAATATATAGTGATTGAAACAAGCTGGACTGGCATTTGCTTTTATTAGACAGGATAGGATGTGCAAATTGGTTATATTCTGCAATTTCTTGTGCAGAGTTTCCAAAAGTGGTTTTTGCCTTGTCTTTTTCCAGTTTTCAAGGGGAGGGCTTCCAGCTTTTACTCATTCAGTATGACATTGGCTGTGGGTTTGTCATAGATGACATTCATTATTGTGAAGTATGTTTCTTAAATCCCTAGTTTATTAAGAGTTTTTTTAAAAAACATGGAGATGTTAAATTTTATCAAAAGCCTTTTATGCATTTATTGAGATAATCATCTTGTTTTTGTTTTTAGTTTTATGTTATTAATCACATTTATTGATTTGCATATGTTAAGACAACCTTGCATCGCAGGGATAAAGTTTACTTAATTGTGGTGGATTAGGTTTTTGATCTGCTGCTGGATTTGATTTACTAGTATTTTGTTGAGGATTTTTGCATCTATATTCATTATGGATATTTGCTTGAAGTTTTCTTTTTTTGTTATGTCTCTGTCAGGTTTTGGTATCAGAATGATACTGGAAATATTCCATGCTCTTGGATAGGAATCCAAGAGCATGTTAAAATGGCCATACTGCCCAAAGCAATTTACAGATTTAATACTATTTCTATCAAACTACCAATGACGTTTTTCACAGAATTAGAAAAAAAATTATTTTAAAAATCAAGTGGAAAGAGCATGAATAGCCAACACAATCCTAAGCAAAAAGAAGAAAGCTGAAGGCATCATGTTATCAAACTTCAAACTCTACTGTAAGCCTACAGTAACCAAAACAGCATGGTACTGGTACAAAAACTGACATGTAGACACATAGACCAATGGGACAAAATAGAGAGCCCAGAAATAATGTGACACACCTAGAATCATCTGATCTGGGACAAAGTCTACAAAAACAAACAATAAGGAAAGTGGTCCCTATTCAATAAATGGTGCTGGGATAACTGACTAGTCATATGCAGAAGGTTGAAACTGAATCCCTTCCTTATACAATATACAAAAATCAAGTTAGGATGGATTAAAGACTTAAATGCAAAACCTAAAACTATACAAATACTGGAAGATAACCTCCTAGGAAATAGCATTTTGGGCATAGGGCCTGTCAAAGATTTCATGATGCAGATGCCAAAAGCTATTGCAATAAAAATAAAAATTGGCAAATAAGATCTAATTAAATTAGAGAGATCCTGCACAGGAAAAAGTAAAACTATCAACAGAGTAAACAAAGAACCTACAGAATGGGAGAAAATATTCGCAAACTATGCATCAAACAAAGGTCTAATACCCAGAATCTATAAGGAACTTAAATGGATTAATGAGCAAAAAAACAAACAACTCCATTAAAAAGTGGGCAAAGGACGTGAACGGACACTTTTCAAAAGAAGACATACATGCAGCCCACAAGTATATGGAAAAATTCTCAACATCTTTAATTATTAGAGGAATGCAAATCAAAACCATTATGGGATACCATCTCACACCAATCAGAAAGGTTGTTATCAGAAAGTCAAAAAACAACAGTTTGTCAATTTCTCAAAGAGCTAAAAGCAGAATTGCCATTCCACCCAGTAATCCCATTATTGATTATATACCCCAAAGAATGTAAATGGTTCTACCATAAAGACACATGCAAGTGTTTGCTCATCATGGCACTATTCACAATAGCAAACACATGGAGTAAACCTAAATGTCCATCAGTGGTAGATTGGATAAAGAAAATATGGTTCTCATATACCATGGAATACTACACAGCTATAAAAAAGATTGAGATCATTGTCTTTTGCAGCAACATGGATAGAGCTGGGTGCCATTATCCTAAGTGAACTAACACAGAAATAGAAAACCAAATATTGCATGTTCTCACATATAATTGCAAAATAAATATTGAATACATATGAATGCAAAGAAGGGAATAACAGACAATGGGGACTACTTGAAGATGGAGGGTGGGAGGAGAGTGAGGACAAAAAGTACCTATTAGGTGCCATCCATATTACCTGGGTAGTGAAATAATCTCTATACAAAATCCTGGTGACACAATTTATCTATGTAACATACCTGCAAATGTACCCCTGAGGCTAAAATAAAGGTTAAAAAAAAAGACTCAGAAATTAAAAGAATAAAAATTTCATACTCAAATTGTTCAACATTTCTACTTTCATAGTATCTTCTCATCTTAGTATCTTACACCCTGTTTTCCCATTCCCTAGTAATTGTGAGAAAAAGAATGCTGAAAAAGAACTCAACCTCTTATCTATGTGTAAAAATATATAATTTGTTAGCATGGCATGTGAAGCTAGCAAAAATCCATTTATCCATATTTCCCTCTGACAAAAAAGTTTTTATCTTATCTTTATAAATCACATCTTATGTGAACTGAATATATAAGAAACCTTTCCATTTGTGATTTCTTGGTATGATTCTTTGAGTCATGTTGTATTCCTCTGTGATCTATATTTAACATTATAGTAGTTGATTAACTCAGCTGTGTATGGACGTAATAATAAATATACCCTAATATGAGTGTGCTAAATCCTAAATATCACAATGTGTCACTCAATTTAGAATCTTATTTTAGTTAAGGTAATAATCTCAATATAACCTTGCAGCTACTTTTATTTTTTTTGTCTTTTATTTTTTTTCTCCTTTAGAAACATTACACTTCCCAATAAAATCCTCTAAGAATATCTATGGTGTGTAACTGGCTTCTGCCCATTTCTAGAATCATGTCACATAAGTAATAGTAGCATGGAATTTGGTGAAATTAGAAAATTTAGAGAAGGATTTAAATAAATCAAAAAATATTTACTTAATAGTAATCTGAAAGTAAAAATTTGCTACTGTACTTGTCAAATCACTTAATGGCATTGTATTATCTTCAATATGTACCCACACATTCTGTGTATATACATGACAGATAGTCATGATAAGTATTGCTATTATTAATAATCATATTATGTAATCTGATGAGTTTTTTGTTAGGTATAGATCTATCTGTGTCAATGGTCTCTATCTAGATTTTTTTTCACAACTAAAGTTTCCATCTGCTGTAGGAATTACCAGTCTTTTGATGTGATAGCCTTTGTCGGCTTATTAGATAATATGTAATCCTTTTTAAATTTAATTACTCATATTTACTATTTGTTTGCATAAGAGATGCATTAGCCCTTGATTGTTTTCAATTTTGTGGGATCCATATGTTAGACTACATCAAAAGGTGAGAAATGACAATATCACAATTAATTCTTTCTTAAGAGAGGATCTGTTCTCTTATAACATCCATTATACATGAGGATAACCTCTTAACCCTACAAACATCTTCTCCAACCTCTGCCCTTTGAATGTTACAATTTATATGAAAGTTAATTTTAAAACAGAATACTGTATTAGTTTGCTAAGACAGCTATAGCTAAGTACCACAAACTGAATCGCTTAAACAACAGAAATTTATTGTCATACTTCTGGAGGCTAGAAGTCCACAACAAAGGTGTCAGCAGGTCCATGCTCCCTCTGAAGGTGCTAGGGAAAGATCTATTCCTTGGCTTCTGGTAGCATAATTCTAATTTTCACAGTGTTCTTCCTGAGTGTATGTCCATCTCTGTCTCAAATTTCTCCTTTCTATAAGGACATCAGTCATATTAGGTTAGGACTCACCCTATTAACTTTATCATAACATAATTAATTACATCTGCAATTACCCTGTTTCCAAATAAGGTCACATTCTGAGATTTTGGAAATTAGGACTTCAACATACGAGTTTTGGGGGATGCAATTCAACTTGTAACAAATACTACTTTGCTTCATTTATTAACATTTTATAACTAATTTCTAATACATAAGTTCTGATACAAATTTTCCAATGAGGGCCAGTCTAATCTTTGGATTCAGAATAGGTAATCAATTTATTGCTATGATTTGAGTGTTTGTCTCTTTCAAAATTCATGTTGAAATTTAATCGTAATTGTAATTATTAAATAGTAAGAGGTGATTAGGCCATTATAGTTCTACCATCAAAGATGGGATTAATGCCATTATAAAAGAGCAAGTTCAGACACCTCTTGCTCTCTTGCCCTCTTGCCTTCCTTCCTCCATATAATGTAACACAGTAAGGAGACCCTTACCAGAAGCCAGCACTTTGATATTGGACTTAACAGTCTCCAGAACTGTGAGCCAATACATATCTGTTCATTATAAATTACCAAGTCTGTGGTATTCTGTGATCGCATCACAAAACAAAGTTTTTTGTGTGTAGATAGAATTGCCCTTTTTTTGTGTGTAGATAGAAATGAGGTTTTTTTTCTTAACTTTTAAGTTCAAGGGTACACGTGCAGGTTTGTTACACAGGTAAACGTGTCAACTTTTTCAGGTGTGAAAGCTTGCTTCTATCATCGACTGTGGTGGATATTTTTATTTTAAAATTAATACATTATAAAATGCAAATGATCTTGGGAAGAAAATAATGCTCTAAAATTTATCTCAGTGGGAATTAAAATCTTGTATTAATGATGTTAAGAGTTTGAGAATATTTAAAATATTAGACTGGCAGACAGCAAAGATGGCACTGACAAAATGGTGTCACCAAGGGGAAATGGTCTGGACATGGAGAAACTCAGCATCCTAAAAACAAGTTTCTTTTTACAGTATTTTTGAGGTCAGAATCTATGTACAATTTCACTGCCTGAAAGATTTATCCTTATCTGTTTTTACTGTTTATATCTTCCTTAATCTTAAGTAAAGTTTAACTAACCCAAAGCTTCATATATTTTGTTGCTCCTATGCAGGACTTTTTAATAAATCAGCATTTCTGGTCATTTAATAGGAAGTTGATGTGGCTACTTGTCAGTACTCTGTCCTTTTCAACTCAAATCAGGACCTTGCTATCTCTTAAAACTGTTTAAACTGCAGTACTAGTTTATAGTAGATGCTACATTTTAAATTGCTTATACCTAAGTATAATAACGTTTTTAATAATTCATTGATTGTTCAGCACCTAGTGAATCAATTCTGTTTGAAATATCTTTATTATATTGTGTTGTCATATTTATGCCACCATTTACAAATTAGGTATTCTATACTTGGTGGTTTTGTTATACCTTATGTGCCATTTTAGGATTTCTTTTTTATGTTTCACTCAAATTATGTAGTGGCACATACTTAATTTTGATGTTTTGCCCTATTTTTCTGCCTTTTCCCTATATTTTTGGGTCTAAAATATTTATTTAAATGCAACTAGTTTTATATGGCTAATTTAAAAACATGAGAAACATAAACTGAATTCCTAGTATTATTTAAAAATTATGATAAATTTAATAAAAATCCATGCATGCTGCTTTGGCTTTATTATAAGACTTACTGTGTTCTCACTTAAAATGGTATATGAAAGTCTCCAAAATTTTAGCACATTGCTGAGATTGCATTTTGGTTATAGAATGAGAGTCCCTATAAGGGGCTAGAATTGAGACTAAGAAAAAATCCATTGCTTTGTATAAAAAAGGAACAAATATATATATATATATATATATTTATGTATGTTATATGTATTTGTTCCTATTTATATATATAAATGTATATACCATGAATTATACAATAAACATATATATACCATTAAAAAATTAATTGCTTTGTATAAAAAACCTATATATATTATATATATTATATATAATATATTAATATATATATGCACCATAAATTATATGATTAATAATAGCAATTTAGGAATAGAGGAAAGCATTTCAAAGGATAAAAATTCTAGAGTAATAGTTACCTGATGGGAAGATGAAGTAAAAGACAAACCAAATAGAAATTCTTTAATGTTGTAATTGGATGAAAACCTTTAAAAAATAGAAAGGTTTAATATCACGTTTTAAGTTGTAACCATGTTATTTTGAAAATTAACTCTTAGTTATTTCTTCCCTACCTTCAAGAAAGTCCACTATACTGACATATTTGAGTCAGTGGTATGCTGGAAGAAAGAAAACAGTGCAGTATTTAGTATGTTACAATATACAGGAAAATTAAAATACGTTCTGAGTGGGCATGGAAAACTCAGTAAATATGGGAATTCACAAATGCTGGCTATATATAAGATGAGAATTCAAGCCAAATCTCATTAAATCTTAAAGGGCAAAATGAATCAAGCAAGCTGGAGTATTTGGGAAGTATCCAAAAAGCTGACATCAAAGCTCTGTGATGTTTTCCATGGATGTTCAATTAATTGCATGTATGTCAAAATTGTCTATTATCCTGTATTTTCAGGTTACCAAAATGATTGCAAGCTTCTTTAAGTTGTCAAGAAAATAAAATAAATTATATGGATCTGAGACTATATTTTATGTGTTCCAGGCACTGAATTAAGGGATGTATATGTTTTCTCATGTACTCATTACAACAATTATTATATAATTTTAATAATGAGAAAAGTGAGTTTTATATTGGAGTCTATAAAGGATATTAAATCAGAATTGGGGTAACTTGTAATGTGAACTCAGTTAATTGAGAGAATTCTGAATTCAGCAGATATTTAAAAATCAGCAGATATTTAAATTATGCATCACTTTACAATAGATTCACATTCTGAGAAATGCTTTTTGTCATTGTGTAAACATCATAGAATGTACTTACACAAACCTAGATGGTAGAGCCTAATACATATCTAGGCTATATAAAATAGCCTATTGTTCCTAGGCTACAAACCTGCACAGCATGTTATGCTGAATACTGTAGGCAATTGTAACACAAAGGTAAGTAATTGTGCATCTAAACCTATCTAAACATAGAAAAGGTGCATTATACATACAGTATTGTAATCTTATGGGACCACCATCTTATGTGTGGTTTGTTTTTTATTGCTGACTTCCTGAAATGTCATTATGAAGTGCATGACGGTACTTTTGTTCTTTGTTTGCCCATGCCAGGTGACCAGAAAACTAAATCCATTTTGCAAATGTAGGTCATTGCTTCAGCTTTTTTTTCCAAGTGTAATATGGAAAAGAGAAGCTAGTATAGGTATATAATGCACTGTATATTTACAAAATTAACATTCTAAATCAAGAAACAGAACAATACAAGAAACACAGAAGTCCCTCTCATGTTCCCTTTCCAGTCACAACCGCTCCAAATATAACCACTATCCTGATTTGTAATAGCCTGGATTACTGATACATAAATGGATTCATATAGCATGAATTATTTTCTACCTGTCTTCCTACCTTAAATATTACATTTTTTTACATTTAGCCACATTGTTGTGTGCTAAATTGTAGATTGTTCTTTTCTGTGTTATGGTATTCTGTTGTGTGAACATGCTTTAAGTAATTTATCCATTCGATGGTGAGTAGGCATTTACTATTTAGATAGTTTGCATTTGGTGCCAATTATAAATAGCACTTTTTTGAAAATTCATATCTCTGGGTGAACACATGTATGCGTTTCTGTTATATATACATTGAAAATGGTAATTGCTAGGTGACAGGATGTATTTATATTCAGCTATAGTCAATAATGTTACAGTTTTCTAAATGGTTTTGCCAATATTGCACTCCCAACTTATACGAGTTCCAGCTGTTCTTCATCTGCACCAACACTCAGCATTTTTTTTTCCATTTTAATCATTGGATTTGGTGTCCACATATATTCATATTTTCATTGACCTATCAGATGTCCCCTTTTCTGGAATATTTTGTTTTAGTCTTTTGCCTGTATTTCTACTAACTTTTCTTCTATCATTTGTTTTTAAAAGGAACTTATTTATGTATTATAGATAGTAAGCACTTTCATACTGATGTAATATATTTTATTTATATATACTATGTATTATTGGATTTAATTTATTAACTTTTTAAAAGATCTTTGCATCTATGTCTGTGAGAGATAGTGTTTCTAGTTTAATTTCCTTGTAAGATCATTTGCTGGTTTTGAAATCAAGTTTATGCTTTCCTCATAAAATGAGAACATCTTTCTTTTATTTCTGTGCACTGTAAGGGTTTGTGTAAGATTGATGTTATTTCTCCCGTAGATATTTGGAGACATTCTCTGGTGAAACTGAGTCTGGAAATTTCTCTGTGGGAAGAATTTGAATAACCATTTCAATTTATTTTATTTTATTTTATTTTTGAGACAGAGTTTTGCTCTTGTTCCCCAGGCTGGATTGCAATGGCGAGATCTCAGCTCACTGCAATCTCCGCTTCCCGGGTTCAAGCGATTCTCCAGCCTTAGCCTCCCGAGTAGCTGGGATTACGGGCATGCGCCACTACACACGACTAATTTTGTATTTTTAGTAGAGACAGGGTTTCTCCATGTTGGTCAGGCTGGTGTCCAACTCCCTACCTCAGGTGATCCTCCCGCCTTGGCCTCCCAAAGTGCTGGGATTACAGGCGTGAGCCACAGTGCCCAGCCTTCAATTTCTTTAATACATGTACAACTAGTAAGAATTCTAATAATTCTAATACTATTTCTCTTGCATTTTTGGGGGAATTTGTCCAAGTCATCCTAATTGTCAAATGTATTGGTATAAAGTTATTTATTAATATCCTCTTATTATATTTTTGATGTCTGTAGAGTCTATAGTGAGATCTTTTTTTATTACTGTTATTGACAATTTGTATATTTTCTTATTTTATTTTGATAAATCTTGCTGGAGTATTTGATTTTTTTTCTATTTTTTTAAAATTATGACCCTTTCTCTTATTTTATTTATTTTTACTCTTTTATTATTCATTTTATCTGTCTACACTTATTAGGTTTAAAATTCTGTTCCCAGAATGAAGCTTCACATGAATAACATTTAGTCTTCCTTATTTTTTTAAACATGAAACTAAGGCTATAAATTTTTCTCTAAACATATCTATCTCTGCATCTCACAAGTTTTAGAATGTTGATTTTTATTTTTATTCACTTAAAAGTTTCTAATTTGGGTCTTATTTTTTCTCATTTATAAATTATTTAGAAATTCTTTAATTTCAAAATAAATGTGAATATGCTGAATTCAATTGTGCTATGAAACACTGTGAATAATTAATATAATTTAAAATTATTGAGGACTTTTTATTAATAATTGTTTATGGTATAGTATATTTTGGTAAATAGTCAATACATGATTAAAATAATATCAATTATGTCTTCAAAATACACATTGTTTTACGTTATTCAGTTATATAAATTGAGTTGCTAATTAAAATATATATTCATTATTGCCATTGTTCATTATAAATCTATATTCTAATTATGTTTTGTCTTATTACTGTACATGCTATTATGATAGGTATATTAAGATCTTATTATTATGGATGTTTAGATTTCTCTCTTTAATTTTGTCAATTATTGCTTTTTATACTTTGAAATAATGTTATTGGGTATATACATATTTAGACTTATAATGCCTTTCTTCTGAATGTTTTCCTTTTTATTAAGATATATACTGTTTCTGTACTCATCTTTCTTAAAGTACTTTACTACCTTCAGTTGTGTTTCTTTCAGAAAGTACTCCTTTTCACATTTTCTTTTTCAAAGAGGCATCTATTTTGTTTATTAATTTTAATTTCTAGTTTTGTCTCTACTCTAAATTATCTTTTTACCATTTTACATCTTCTTTTTTCCTCAGTTCTATATTGTTTTTGCTACTTTCTCTAATTAGAATTCAATGTTTTTCTTTCATATATTTTATTATTTCCTAATTAAATTTGTATTACTTTGAAATGTTAATTTATAGTTTTGATCTGCTTGTGGGTAGGTTTTTCAGGAATTTTAAAATATTTTTAAAGGATATTATTCAGCTTCTTATGGTCTTTTGGCTTATAAATACTTTGGAGGAAACTTGGCAGTGATTCCTTCCCTGCTCATTCTATATGAAATTAATTTGTCTGAATTATTAGGAGAAAGAAGCAGGTCAGAATAGTATTTAGTCTTCATTAAAGTTGAAAGATATGGCTATCTATTCTCTGAGATGACCTCTTTTTCCCACCCCTACCTCTAACTATTTTCTCTCTCTTCCATTTCTATTTTATTTATCTGAAATTTAAAATCAGTATCTCTTAGTTTTTCTCAGTATATGGCTTTGTTCTGGACGACAGCTTCAGCTTTTAAATTTTGTTTCAGCCCATCATGGACGAAGAGGGCATGAGGCCTGTCATAACCCCTAGCACAGGGTGATCATACATACTTTGGGAAATCCTCTCTCGTTAAGTGTGGACGTTAACATTGGCTTGTTTTTAACCAATAAACTATGACCAAAAAAAATAGTGTGATGTCATCCCTATGATTGTTACATTGTTCAGAACTCCTTCCTGGTAACAGGCTTGCTCTAGAGACTTTCTGCCCTACCTGGTATAAAATGAGAGGCCATCATTAGGGGCCCACATGACAAGGAACTTGGAGTGACCTCCATGAGACCACCAGCAAAAAGTTAGGGTATGCAGTTATACACTTGCAAAGAAATGGGTTCTGCAACAACCAGAGTAAGCAGAGAAACAATTCTTCCCCAGTAGAGCCTCCAGATGAGAATGCAGATTGGTTGACATCTTGATAGCTGTCTTCTGAGGCTTTAAGTAGAGGACTTCAGTAAGCCATATCCAGAATCCTGACATACAGAAAATGTGAGATAATACATATGTGTCATTTTAAGTCACTAAGTTTCTAGTAATTTGTTATACAGCAGTAGAAAACAAATACAAGCTTCTTCAGAACTTGCTTTGGAACCTTGTCAATTACCTGTGGATGTGCAAACACCCGTGCAGTTTCAGCTATTATTCAATAACTGCCCTTTTGCACTCTCTAGTTGAGTGTCTAACTGTTTTTCATATTGTTTTGTTCTCAGCTCTGGCAGCATCTTTCTTCTTTCCCTGCTCATATAATGTATTCCCTCAAGCTGTAGGTAATTTTTCTCTACCTATTGTATTTTGGAGTTCATGTGGGTACAATTGCAGTTGGCTTTGTTTGTTAAGTTATGCATAGATTTTTTGGTTATATTTTCCTTTTGCTCTGTCTGTTCTTTTAAAAGGGATTGGATGAGATTTTAAAAACTATGTCACATTGTCATCTTCCAAGAATTTCTTTATCACATTGTTAAAATTTACTGGATCTTGCCAAATTGTTCTCCAGACTGGTGTATTCTTTAAATCCATGGAAAACAGTTCCAATTACTCAACATTCTTGGCAGTGGCAGAAATTGTCAGCTCTTAATATTTTAGTCAGTTTGCTAGATTTGAGATAGTGTCTAACTGTGGTTACATTTGCATTTCCTTGGTTACTATCTTTATGATCCTTTCTTAAATTTCATAAATTACTTTTTCATATTCTTTGCTGTCTTTTTTGGGGGACCATTTTACCTTTTATTAATCCTAGTGATTATCTGTTTTGGATACCAGTTTTCTGTTGTTTGTACTCATTTCAAAATATCTTTGATAGTCTTTAGCTTCTATATAGACAATATTTTATGCAAAAAGTTATGATATAATTATATTTATTATTATTTTTTCTTTTTTTCACTTGTCCTGTTTTCACCCTCTTTAAGACACCTCCTGAGGTCTTTACTGATATACTTTCTTCCAAAATTTTAAAAGTTTGCTTTTCAAATTTAGGTAATCAAATCTAACTAGAATTGATCCAGGTCCATGGAGCAGATATTTATTTTTTATTTCTTTGTAAATATAGTTTTATTCATACATTGTATGCACGTTGTTTGATTCAGCTTCTGACCCAATAGAGTTTGCTATCACTATTAGTAATTTTGAGACAAATTAATATTTTATATGAAGAAAATTATAATTGGCTTCTTTAATTTTTTCCTATTCTTATATATTTGAGTTATTTTGTTTCTGTGAAATTACTGGCTTGACCATATAATGTTGAATATGCATAGTAAGAGTAAAAAATAATGTTGCCTTTTGAGTTTAAGGAGAGTGTTATAAGTATTTCAAAATTAAGTGTGAATTATAATATATGTATGTTATCATATCAAATGTAATATAAAGAATGTTCCCATCTGTTCCTGGTTTCTTCTGATTTTTAAATAATAAATGATAATTTATTTTTTTATTAATTTTCTGCATTTTCAAGATAATCATTTGATTTTCTTTTTTACTTTATAATTTCATAAATTAGTCTGGTGAGTTTTAAAGTAGAAATTAGTTCTTCAGAAGTGAATTTGTTGTTCAAGATGTGCTGTCATCATTGACATAGGATGACATATTGTATATTTTTTCTAATGGACTTTGTCTTTTAGATCAATTGTAGTTTCAAAGCAAACTGAAGAAAGCACAAAGAATCCCCATATACTTCCTACCACCCCATTGCCCATATGCACCCTTCACTTTCAACATTCCCCATCAGAGAGCTACATCTGTTTTAAGTGATTAATTTACATTGACACATTATCACTCATAGTCCATAGTTTGTATTAGGGTTTATTCTTGATGTTATACATTCTATGGGTTTTGATAAATGTATTATGACAGGTATGCATCTTTAATAGCAACATCCAGAATAGTTTCATTGCCCTAAAAGATCTCTGTGTTCTGCCTATTAGTCCCTTCCTCTCTTTTCCCACCTTGGCAACCACTGATCTTTTAATTGTTTCCATAGTTTTGCTTTTCCAGAATGTCCTATAGTTTGTATAATACAGTGGATGACCTATTTTTTATTTTTCTGTTTACTTGTTCACTGTCTGTGGTATGCTTGTGTACTGGAATGTTGACAATATCTTACTTTTACCTATTTGATCTTTCTCTAGGCTGTCCTACTTCACTCTCATTCTTATGTCCTGGATATTCAATAGTATACTTTTAATATATTTTTTAAATAGTGGACTTTAAAAATAGTGTGACCACAGATATGGTTTGCTTAAATATTATATTGTTTACCTATTGTTTTTGATCTTTATTAAAAGGAATGTTTTATGCAATCTTTTTAGATTTGCTTATTTAATTCAAAATATTGTTATGCCAATGGCCTTTGGATTCTTTTCTTTTTATTTAACTATTATAAACAGTGCTATTATGAACCAATTTATGTCTACCTCATTTGCAGATATGTAGGAATTTCTCCTGTTACATACTTAAGAATAGAATTGTTGGTGTAGGCGCTATGTGAGTAGTTTTGCAGGATAATTCCAAATTGTTTCCTAAAGAGGATATTTTAATTCATAGACATGTAACCTGTAATATATAACAGAGGACTTTAAACACAGGCTCACTAACATCTAGCGTGGTTCAAATTTATAATTTTGCCGTTAAAAATTATTCAATAATGTGTTTAAAGTGCTTGTTTACTATGGCCTTTGTTTACAATATCCACACTAACTAAAATATTTTTAAACTCAATGATTTCCTATCATTCTCTTTTCATTAAGGATTATGTCCTTCAATAAGAATTATATCAAGGATTCATATATAGGACTGGTCTCACACATGGTAACTTTAATGTTTTTATATTAAAATGTATATCAAAATTTTCTCCCTTGAGCCCAGTTTGATATTTCACATTGTTTATTAAACGAGTCCAGTGGGCAGCATGGAATGAATTATTTCACTAAAATTTTATAAATCATATTAATTGCTATCTTTACTAGATTTCCCAGCACTTTGTTTGTCCAAGAGCAATAATGAGGGGCCAGATTGATCGCAATATTTTAATAACTTGTCCAAGAACATAAAATTAGTTTGTTGCAGAAAAATCTGATCTCACATATGGCTAATGTGAAGCTTCTTTGGCACTTTACAATGTAATCCTTCCCTTGACCTTTGAAGCATTCCCAAATGATTTAAATTTCTCACTAAGAACTTGTTTTCACTGTTTGACTCACCAAAAGGAGTCTTTGGCTTGCAGGGCTGTTTTGTTTAAATAGTAGAGCTACTCAATAAATATTCAGTAATGGCCAATCACAGGAAGTCACTTGTTAAGTAGGAATTTATTTTGTCTTACATAATATAAAATTAAAAAAATGCTTTCAAAATGTTTCAGTAAAACATGAAAGTATATACACTCACTAAACATTTCAAACAATCTTACAGGAAAAAACAATAATGGAGACTAGATATTATGAAAGACACATATACCTGCTTTTTATTTTAAATATTTTTTTAATCACAGAAATGTTAGGTCTAGCCTGAAGAAAATTTTATTTTTGTTCCACACAAATCTGCATTTGCATATTGGTATGAGAGTTTAAGGGGGTTTATTCTCTCTGCTTTTCAGTAATGGATAAATAGTTCCTTAGAGACATTGTGAAATGTATTGTCTTATAAAAAGCACATTAATTTGCTGCCCAGTTTAATTTTTTTTCTCATAGCCCTAGGCTAACTTACTATGAATTGAGAATACTTGATTTTCTTAATACTAAGGGTCTGTTATAATAAGAATAATTATAGAACATGAAGTCTTGTTCATGTATCATTTATTTCAGAAATCACAGACATGTTTCAAAAGTACAATAAAATAATTTCATAGAACATTAAAGTGGAAACAAACTATAAAATTAATTTAACAGTTTTATAAATAACATGTTGTCTTTGTTCAATATGGGACTACATAATGGTTTAAAAATGTTAGTCAATATTCATTACACATCTTCATTTTTAAAAACTCTTCCTTTTATAACTTGAAAATACATGTAATAATATGATATGCCAAGATATTTTGTATCTGAATTTTCATTTTATGTAATCATGTCCTTTTTTTCATGCACATAATTGCAGGAATTTTTGTTTGTTTATATTTTGCTAAATGTATCTGTGGATATATTACTTTTTAAAGAAATATCTAGGGTATATGCAAAAAAAAAACAGATTTGCATAATCAAATATTTCTAGGGAGTGCCTGGATAAAATCCAGGCATAGTTGAACAATGCAGTTCTTTATTGGCACATTGATAAAAATCTTTATTAAGCGATTTAAATCTTTATCAGGTAGTTAATATATAGTGAAACTTCAAAAATAGAATATAGGATGTAGCAATTTAATTTCCACAAATTATTTAATCATGTGACATTACATGGGATTTGGATTTTTTTGGAACACCTTTGAAAAATCATGTGCTGTTTATGACAGTTATTCTAAATAATAAGTAATTTTATGCTAAATTGCATTGTTATCCATGATGTCAAGGATTTTAAACCTGATTTTTTGTATTATAATCTAATCTGCTTTGTGTTATTCTCCACTGGAGATATATATATATATATATATATATATACACACACACACACACACACACATACACATACACACACACACACATATACATATATACGCACACACATATATATACACACACACGTATATATGTGTATATATACATATATATACACATATATACACACATATATACAGACACATATATGAATATATGTGTATATATACACACACATATATATGAATATATGTGTATATATACACACACACACACACACATATATATATATAGAGAGAGAGAGAGAGAGAGTTTGGTTTTATAAAAATGTCGTGAATTTCCCATCCTTAAGTTACTTTATAAACTTTTGTGTATCCTGAAATAGGCTATATGGATTGTTGAATATGTGTAAGGTTAGTTGCATGCTATTCTGAGAGCAAATATGTTTATGAAAAGGGGCTATGGTTCAATTAGTTATTTTTCTATATTATACATTGACTAAATTTAATATTTGTGTTTTGGAAATAAATCTTTTTATCTTAGAATAATGTTAGACTTCCATAAAAATTACGAAGATAATACAGAGAATTATCACATACTCCACACTCAGTTTCCCCCTATTATTAATATTTGACATGTATATGCTACTTTTGTTACAATTATGGAACCAATATTAATACATTATGACTAATTTAAGTCCATTCTTCACTCAGATATTCTTAGCTTTTAGCTATTGTTCTTTATTTCTTTCAGGATTTCATCCAGGATATCACATCCCATTTGTTTGTCATGTCTCTTTAGACATCACTTGTCTGTGACAATTTCTGAAATTTCTTATGTTTTTTTTTATGACCTTGAGAGTTTTGAGGAATACTGGTCAGGTATTTTATATTTTTCTCATGATGAGAGTGGGATTAAAGTACCATTTTCATCATCTCATGTATTAAGGGTACATACTATCAAAATGACCTATCAATGTTGATGTTGACCTTGATGATTTGGCTGAGGTAGTGCTTGCTAGATTTCTCTATTATAAAGTTACTCTTCTTAAACCCATTTTCTACTATAATATTTGAGTGGAGGTCACCATTGCACAGCTCATACTTAATGATTGGGAAATTATGCTCTTCTCCCTTGAGGGCAGAATAGCTGCATAAATTATTTGGAATTCTTCTGCATGGGAGATTTATCTCTTCACCTCTACTTATTTTAATTAATTAATATCAATACAAACTAATAATTATTTAACATTTTCAGTTATAATCAATATTATGTTATTCATTTGTTTCTCAAACTGTTGGCCATTCTGAGATCTTTCTGTTGACTCCTATGTCTCTTTGACTATCCTACATCATTGTGGATTTTCTTCCTCTTCCTCCAGGTTAGAATCGGCCATTTCTCCAAGGATTCTTGTTCCTTTTATTTTAGAATAAATCTAGAAAGCGAGATCAGAGTGCTAGGTATGCTTATTGCCACTGCGGCCTCTTTGCTTTGAGGCCCTTTTAGCTGACAGAGCAAGGAAATATATGTGTATACTAATGAATGTATCTACACATATTCTTAAATATTTCTATATGTAATCATCTGTATCTATATTAACTAAGCATGATTTAATACAATATCTTCCACTCGAATCCATTACCACATGGAACATTCTAGCCTCCTGCCCTTCCTTTTATATAAATTCCCACCATCCATCATCCATTTACTTAATTGTTTAGTATAGATGCATATTAGTATCAGGATTGTTAACCCCATACACCATGGGAAAAACTCTTATAGTGATTATGTACAGCCTTTGTGGCTTTTTTGTTTGTTTTGCTTTTATACTTACAAATTCTACACACTTCTAAAGAAACTCAGGCTAGTACTTATTTCCCCTAACCACTTCAGAAAAGTTATTTCATTCACATATAAGTCAGATTGACATGTTACATTCTTCATTCCATGTTGGAATCCTCCAGTCTCCAAAGGGATTTTTTAAAATTTGTGTTCATTAATGTTCATTCTTTATGCTCTAAAGTTCTATGACTATAAGAAAATACATACTGTCACATAACCACCAGTATAATATCATATGGAATAGTTTCACCACCCTAAAAAAGCCTTTTGCACTTCACCTATTCAAATCTTTCTTCTTTACCATAAACTCCTGCCAACTACCGTCTTTGTACCATCTATATACACTATATACACTTTTTCCAGTGTCATATAGTTGCAATCACATGGTAGTAGCCTTTCCAGACTTACTTATTTCACTTAGCAATATGCATTTAAGATTTTTCCATGCCTTTTTGCATGATCTTGATAGGTCATTTTTTTAACTCTGAATTGTAATCCATTGTTTGAATGTAGTACAGTTTGTTTATCTATCCACCTATTGACAAACATCTTTCCTGCTTCCAGTTTTTGGCCATCACAAAGCTGCTAGGAGCATTCATGTGCAGTTTAATGTAGACATACATTTCAAATCAGTGGGATAAATATGTACGCGTTCTATTTCTGGTTGTGTGGTAAGACTATGTTTAACTCGATAATAAACTGCCAAACTGTCTCTCAATGTGATTGCACCATTTTGCATCCCAGCTGGCAATACATTTTCTGTTCTTCATTTTTGGATTTTAGCTATTCTAATAGTTGTGTAGTAGTATGTCATTGTTGTTGTGATGTACAATTTCTAAATGATAATGATGTTGAACAATTTTAAATGTCTATGTGCCATCTGTATATCTTCTTTGATTAAATGTTTGTTCATATATTTGCCCATTTAAAAACAACTGAGTTGTTGCTTTTCTTATTGGTGAGTTTTAAAAGTTTTTTTGTATAGTTTGTTAAATGCTCTTTTGCTTTTTTTTAAAAAAATTTAGATTCAGGGGGTATATGTGCAGGTTTGTTACATGGATATATTGTGAGATGCTGAGGTTTGGGCTCCAATGAAACCCATCACCCAGATGGTGAATATGGTACCCAATAG
This sequence comes from Homo sapiens, assembly GCF_000001405.40. Taxonomy (NCBI): domain Eukaryota; kingdom Metazoa; phylum Chordata; class Mammalia; order Primates; family Hominidae; genus Homo; species Homo sapiens. Next base: position 279,085 of record NW_015148967.1, on the reverse strand, counting down.
ATAGTTTTTCAACACTTATTTTCCCTCTCCTTCCCTCCTTTTGGAGTCTCAGTGTCTATTATTCCCATCTTTATGTGCAAGTCCTTTATCATATATGTGTTTTGCAAATATTTTCTCTCAGTCTATGGCTTGATTTTTTATTTGCTTGCCAGTGTATGTCACAGATAATACATTTTAATTTTAATAAGATCCAGCCTATCATTTTTTTCTTTCATAAATTGTGCTTTTGGTATTATATCTAAAACTCATCACTAAACAGAAGACTACCTCATTTTTCCCCTATGCTTAGTTTAAAACTTTTACAGTTTTTTTTTTAACCTGTAGGCCTATGATCAATATCTATTAATTTTGTGGAAGGTATAAAGTTATATAGGATTTTTTTCTATGTATACATAATAAGATTCCAACATCATTTGTTGAAGAGACTATTCTTTCTGTATTGAATTACCTCTGTTTTTCTGTCAACAATGAGTTGACTCTATTTGTGTAGGTCTTTATTCTGCTTCATTGTGTATTCTTTTGCCAATGCCACTCTATCTTGATTAGTGTAGCTGTGTAGTAAGTTTTGAAACCAGATTGTATGAGAACTCCCAACTCTGTTCTCAGTATTGTGATGGCTAGTTTAGTTGTTATAATTCCAGATAAACTTAAGAGTCAGTTTCTTGATACCTTCATAATAACTTGCTAGAATTTTGATTGGAATTTCATTGAACATGTCAATAAAATTGGAAAGAACTGACATCCTAAAAATATTGATTCTTCCAAACTTCATTCATGGAGTATCTTTCCATTTATTTAGAGCTTTAAAAATTTATTTCATAAGAGTTTTATAGTTTTTCATATACAGACAACGTTCTTGTTTTAGATTTATACCTAAGTATTTCAAATTTTGGTACTATTATAAATGGTATTAATTTTCTTAAAGTTTCAAATTATAATTATTTATGACTGGTATATAGAAAGCAATTGAATTTTGTTTAAAAACTTTACATGCTTTCAGGTCCAGAAGTTTTGTTTTTGTTTCTGTTTTCAGTATATTCCTTGAAATGATCTACCTAGATATCATGCGATAAAACTTGACTGTTTTGTTTCTTCCTTCCCAATTTGTGTACTTTTTATTGACTTCCGTCTTCTGATTGCAGCAGCTAAGATGCCCAGAACAACGGAAAGAGAGGGCTTCCCTGACCTGTTTTAGATCTTTAGGGGTGAGGGTTCAGTTTTCCACCGTTTCTGTAGGAGTTCTTTATTTCTAGTAAGTTCCTCTTCTATTTCTAGTTTCTGAGAGTTTTTGTCATAATTGGTGTTGGGTTTTGGCAGATGCCTTTTCTGATTAAATTGACACGATTATATGATTTTTTCTTTCTTTATAGCCTGTTGATATTGTGAATTTTATTAATTAAATGTGGAATTTTGAACAAATCTTGCATACTTGGATAAATCTCACTTGGCTGTGTTGTATAAAGCCTTGAACTCCTGAGCTCAAGAAATCCTGCTGCCTCAGCCTCCTGAGTTACTCGAACTATAGGCACAGGCCATCAGGCCCAGTTTCTAGCTTTCTTTTGATTAATTACTGTTAGTATAGTGTAGTTTTTTCATCCTTTTACATTTTACCTATCTGAGTAGGTTATATGAATATAATTACTTATATAAAATATATACTATTATTATATATAAATAACACATAATATTTAAAGTATATATTCTATAATATATATTATATATTGTTATTTAAAGTGGTTTCTTGTAGACAATATAGAGTTGAGTCTTTAGCAGGTCTGACCATTCCTGCTTTTGTTTTTAAGGTTATTCTAATTATCACTTGGCATGTTCTAATTATTATAGTTATTGAATTACACTAGGTTGGGGAAGTGTAAAAATCAGTGTTCCTTCAGGAAAACAAAATTCACTCTATGTATTCTAGGTACTACATATTTTAATGTAAGAAAGCTTCTGTTTTCTTGGTCCTTGGAAGGACAGAGGAAGCAATCAGCCACTCAAATCAGCTTGTAGCACTAAACTTAGTGTTTTACTATATCTCATAAAATGCATCTGAAAGTCTGAAGAATCTCCAAAATGCTCATTGTTAACTCTCACAAAGGGCAGCAGCAGAGTAGATGTTTCTTAAGTCCTAGCAAGAAAGCTCTTGTGAATCTTAATCCTGCCCAAAAGTAAGCTTGCTACTGCCACTGGGGGAAAATATGGATCCTTTTTTCTTAATCTTTCAAATCTCTAGAGATTTCCTCTTCTTGGAAAACTCCAATTCAGATACATATTGGAAGGGAGGTTAAGGGAATTGCAGATTCTCACTCTCTTCTGTACTGTAATAGATAATGTATCCTGATAGTTTGAAGAAGTAGACGAGTGTCATGATATACAATATGCGTACAGTTTAAAATAATTACTCTTGAGGTTTAAAATCTGATTTAGAAAACAAGAAATAATTACATTTAATAATTATAAAACATCAGCAAATGCAGATGTAGCATATTTCTAATATAATTTAAATCTCACAGTAGACTGTAAGATTTAAGGGTATAATGATTACGTTTTGTTCATTTTTGTATTCTCAAACCAAACATATTTCTCTGGCACCTTTATTTATGTACTTATTAGATGTTTGATCAATGAGTCAATTTTGTAGTGAATAAGACTTCTCTATTGGTAATTTAAATTTAACACAATCTTCAAACAACTCTTTTAGGGTTGAAGAGATTTTTTATATTACAGTATTTGGACCAAGGATTTTAATACTCCCTAAGATCTCCTATGGACTTTACAAGATAAAATGGGCAGTTTGAAATCAAGTCTAAATGATCAACAGGTTGCCATCTACTCTCTCATATAACCTTGCTCTGATGTGTTCAGTTAACTAGAATTGGTGAATTTTTTCTTTGCTTTGTATGTTTTATTTGAGCTATTATTTTAATGAGCATTTCTAATTTTTGTATTTGGTTTTAGGTATTTTTTTTCTTATTATATGCTCTTCCCTTGTTCATTAATTTTGAGGATGTATTCAAAGCCTGAATGAGGAAATGAAATAGTGCTCTAGCTTTCTTATAATGTAAGATATTTGGAAATATAGCCTAAGTTGATGAGCACAAAGTGTTGGAATTATGTGAAATAGACTGGTACCAAATGAAATTGGTATAGGGAGGAGTGAGAGACACCCTGAGCCTTGGAAAGGAAGTGAAGCATGATGGAAGTTGATGGAAGGTAATGGAGAAAAGAAGGGCATTAGCCAAACATTACCAAGGTGATTACCACACTCTGGTGAAAATCATTCAGTGGAAATACTTTTCCCCATCTATTTCAATTTTCCATGCAATTGGTCATCTGACAGCTGCAGTATAGCTTCCCAAGTTCCTTACTAGGAGGGTTTTCTGAATGATTTCAAAACCATGTTAGCAAGGGTCAAGAAACAAGAAATTAAAGTTGCTCTGTTACTAATCTGTAAAAATGATGTTGTAGCATGCATGATCTCTATTTATAACAAGTTTAGAACTGTCTTTCCTTATTTTGGGGTCTATGTTCAGCATAGGAATGATATTTGGAGTCCTCTGCCTAAATAGTTTTAGATAAAGTCCCACAATTTATGGTGAAAATAGAAATATTTACATGATATTCTAAGTTTTGTAAAAATCAATCAGAGAAATTAGGAAAGCTACCTCCAACCAAGGACAACTGATGGATTATTTTGCATAAGTGGGGCTGACTTTACCTGTTACATAATACTTTTGATAAAGTATGAAGTTATATAGGGAGTTTTGTACATCAATACCATAGACCATAACTGTCGCTTTGCACCTAGAATTGGCCACAGGCAATAAATAATTACTTAGGCTATTAATATTTCTATTGATCACTGATAGATGGCTGGATCAAATGGTACTTTAAAGTAGGTTTTCAGACTAATATTGATAATTTGAATGTTTATGTTCTGTATTTGGCAAGATCACATGTATGTAAACTTTGCGTGTTCTATCTAATTTACAAATATCTCTTTACGTAGAAATAACCCTCCAAAAGGGATATGGAGTCAAACTATAAAGAAATTTTGAAAAAGATTCCAAAGTGGGTGTTAAATTTTAGTCACAGAAGTGATGAAAGGTTTTTAAATTATTATAGTTCTTCCATTTTTGTAGTCTCCAGACCTATATGGACTCCACAAAACAAAATAACTTTTTTTTGAGACAGAAAAAAAATAGTAGTCCGCATTGTTTCTGGAGAAATTTAGTATTCCTAAATATTTGTGGGTAATTGAAGTTGTCTAGTAATTCTTTAATATATTTCCATTGACAGCGTGATGCTGAGGTATTCCCTGTATCTTCTTTGAACAATGGGATGGAATGGCATACAGCAGAAATAATGCTCTTAGTTTCTGCCTTGGACCAGAAGCTCTCTCTTCCTGTTACTTGGAGCCCTGTGTCTCCCTGTGAGTAGCCCAACTACCTTCCTGCAGAGATATCATGAATCTTGGGGAGCACACAGAAAGGAAGACAGCCCCCAGGTAAGTCCAGCTTTTCTATCATCATCAGCAGACAGCTAGGTATGTGAGAGAAGTCATATTAGACTCTCCAGACCACACCACGCATTGAATGTCACCAAGTGACACTGGTCAATGCTACTTGAAGCAGAAAAATCATTCCAGTGAGAATTTCCAGAATGCTTGGCCTGCAAAATTATGAGCTATAATAAAATGATTGTTGTTTTCAGTCATTAGGTTTTAGGGAAAGTTTCAGCGGTGAGTAACTAAAAATGCTTCTTTTATTTTTTTCTGCAGAAGTTGCTGAGGAAATACACAAAGCCTAAATTAGTAATCTATTGCTGCATAACATATTACCCCTCAACTTAGCAACTTAAAAAAAACAGTATTGTCTCATGGTGTCTATGGATTAGGAGTCCAGATGAGGCTTCCATGGGTCCCAGGACTGGGTCTTCTGAAGGTTACAGTCTAGGTGTTGGCTGGGGCTGAAATCAGTTTAAGACTTGACTACTTGACTAGTGGTAGATAAATTTTAAATTTCCTTAACATGTTGTTCACCAGAAATAGTTACTTGCTGATTGCTGAACTGAGGGTCTCCGTTCCTCCTGAACTTGTGGCACAATGTTTTCCTCGATTTTTCACCAAATGGACATCTTCCAAATCAGGCAGCTCACATTGGCTTCATTGGAGCAGCAAGTGAGTGGGCAAGAAAGAGTTCAAGAAAGATGGTTCCAAATATATGCAAGTCTTAGTCACCTGTAACCTAATATCAGTAGTGTCATCCCATCACCTTTACTGTGTTCTAGTCATTAGAACCAAACTACTAGTTCCAGCCCACACTCAAGGGTATGGAATTACACAAGGGAAAGAATACCAGGACGTAAAGATCATTCATGACAATTTTAGCAGTCTGTCTGCTACAAATCCTTAGCTTTCCAGAAGTATACAAAAGAATTTTAGCCCCTCTTCGGTCATGGAGTTATCTATCAAGATTGAGTTACTCAAATAACCTGGTATATTCTATGATTTCTCATATTAAACATTCAATTTAATGTCAATAATCAATCAAGGATGTATTTTGTCTCTTTTAGTAAGATTTTCCTTCTTTGGGTTTAAAAAAATCTATTAAAGTTTCAATAGAGTTTCTTGCATGTGATAAATGTTTAATAACTGAATGCATGGAGAAAACAAAATTACACACTACTCAGACATATATTGGTAGACATTGGATATGTTTAGACTTAAATGATACTTTTCATTTAAATTAAAATAACTGAAAGAATTTTTTGTATGCATTAACTCTGATAGATATGTATGCTCATTATCTTCAGCTGCCCTCTTCGTGATGATGTCCTGTCTCTATTAGCATGATTTGGTTAGCTGGCCCAAAGCCAGGCTACCTGTGTTCCAAGTTGACTATGCATTTAACTGGATTCGTAAATTTGAAAGGTCTTTTTCTATGCTATGCCTCTGTTTTCTCATCCCACATCCATATCCTCAATTAAATACATCAACAAACCTCACTATTATTAACTCAAAATGTATTCTTAATCCAACCATGCCCATTGTTTCCATCACTATTTCCATGTTCTAAACCACCATACATTTTGGTTTAGGTTTTGTCAAAGGCCTTCAGACACTTCCCTTGACCTCCACCCCTACCTTGAGCAGCAAATATGCCTTAGAATATTTGTCAGCTAATGTCATTTCTTTGCTTGGAAACTTCCAGTAACTTCTTTTCTCATTTAGAATCACATTCAAATTCCTTAACATGCCCAGCTGCATTCTAGAAAGTCTGGGCCTTTTGTTACTCCCACAACTAATTTCATTTTCTTCTTCCTTCACTCACTTTCCATCCATGTTGCTTTTTTGCTCTTCGTTGATCACCCTGTGTATATTTCCAGTTTGCAGCATTTAATTGTCAATTCCTCTGCCTAAAGTGTAGTGTGATCCACTCACTTCCTTTTAAAAATTTCTGTACAAATATCAATTTATCAGGGGTTTGTATCCTTGGATTTCTCCATCTGCCCTCCTTATTTCACTTATTTTAAATCAATCTCTCACGATTGGTCATTTCATATATCTTGTTTATTTACTTATTATTTGTTTATTTTCACCCAAATATAGGCTCTATAAATAAGGAACAGTATCTGTTTTATTGCTTATGAAATAAACATTGTATGAATGAATAAATTTACATATATAAATATAAAACAATAAAGATGCATAAAAGAAGAGATATCTAATTTGGCAAAACCATATACCATTTGTTCTGACTAAAAGAGCAAAAGTGATTTTATATTAAAATATTGGAAGTAATCTGGATCAAACTCTTAGTAGCTAATATATAATCATCATAGTACCCTTTTATCATTTTATTAATAATTCTCATTGACCATAGAGAATATTGGGATTTATAATATTCAGAGTGACACACATTTGGAATATAAATTTGTATAAATTATTCTAATACAATAGTTAGGAAAGCCATGCCCTAATACATAATAATATGTTAGGACATTTGTAAAAATGCCTATAATTCTTAAATTAAGATAATATATTATACAGATGATATGGCTTTTTGCAATCTATTAAAGCACACATATTAAACGTAGCATTTAAATTGTGCACATTCTAAATGGATGTTTTACTCTTGTTGCTCTGCTTTCTTTTTAAACTGTGTTCATATGTATTAGTCAAGCTAGCCTACATCATATTTTTCTAGTGATATGAAAAGTCTTTAATTTTCCTTAGTAGTTTGGAAAGAGACAATTAAGAACCACAGGAATCAAGTATCTTACTCTCCAAGGATAATAAAGGAGAACTATAATTTGACAAGTAAGGAAAGCTAGTTAAAGGACATCCCACAGGTTTGATTAAAACTTTGAAGATTAAATCTGTTCTCATGTCTGTATGAAACTGGCATTAAAAAAAGAGCTGCCCTTTCTAGGGTGCGATTATACAAAGAGTTCTATAATTTTAGATGCTATTCAAATACTGTCATTCAATAATACATCTCTGATTTTTTAAAAAAACACACTTGCACTGTGAGCATGTGGGAAAAAATGTTATCTGTATAATATAATTAATAGCCAGTCCAAAGATCAGGGATCAGGATGCATGCTGATATTTCAATCCCAAATACTCTGTATCAAAGATGGACTGCTCAATATATCTTTCATGTAAGAAGTTTATGAGGTGACTTAATAACTTAGCTGATAGTGCAGGACCTTATTGTGTGAAATATCTGGAAATGTGTCATTTCAGATATATGACTATGGCCCTGCAACACAGTGTGGCTAGAGAATGAGATATGGTATTTACGTTCATCCTTTCATTAGTGCTTGTGCAAGTGAAAATAATTACTTCTGTTACATCTTGACCTTTTTCCTGGTTAGTATTTGACTTTCCAGTAAATGAAGTGGTATATATCTTGGAAGAAACTATAATAACTGGTATCATAATGCCTTCTTAATCTCAAGTTACATGGCCTTTGGTGTTCAGCAAGTCAAATTAATGGAATTTATCTAAAGGATTCAACTCAGATACATCATAATCCATCTTCCAAAGCAATCAACTTAAGACACTATTATAATTATGCAACTATACCATCAAATTACTGAAAACTTACAGTTTGTGAAACCAACCAAAACTTTATGTAATAAGGCCTCCTTCATTTTATAATTTTGCTATCCTTCTGCTAAAAAGACGATAACATTGACCTTCTAACAGTAAAACATACATATTTCCCCCCTTGAGATACTGACCAATTTGCACTGCTTAGTTGTAATCTTTGGAATGACAGAGCTGAACATTTTCTCGAAGATAATAAGTCCCAGGTCAGATAGCCTTTTTTAAAAATATTCACTTTGCCATTATCCGTAACCCAAGCTATCCTAACAATTAGCAGGTATTCTGTCAAACAATGATATATTTCACACTGCCCTGGGACAAAAATGTGCATATTTTGTTTTCATCTGAATACCAGTTCTGGCCAAAGTAATACTGGGTTGTGATTTTTATTTAATTAAAATAAGGATTATGGTAAACAAACTTGAAAAGGTGATAAGAAATGAATCGTTTGCAAATAGAGTTAGACTTGGGAGAACAGAATTACGGTCAACTTGAAATGCATGTTGTAAAATATGTGGCTAAATGTGTGAAGTATTTTACAGGACTGTATATTTCCTTTTGTTTGAAGAATTTAAAAAAACAAATTATTAGCTTATAATGCAACATGATATAACTGTTTCCCTTATATTCACCTGTTGTAAGTTCCATTTTTCTATACTTAGGTGAAAGTTATTATACATAACAAATAAGTAGTAAAAATAAAATTATCAAGTGCCATTTATACCTGAAATAATCAAAAGAAAGGGAACAAAAATTAGACCATGATCATCTAGGAAAGAACTGTCAAAAATGAAGTTTGCATAGTCATTTGAGGCAAAAAATTTAATATGAACATGAATAAGCCAAAACCTATGAAAAGACAAAATTTGGGGGAAAACATTGGCTATTTGCATGCTGGCTTTCTTGTGTTATTGTGGTTTAGAGATATACACAGTGAAAACTAAGTGATTCCGCTAAAGTGATTCTAGCTCAAACACCTGCCAAAGGAAGTATTACAACTAGCACCACTGTGAAGCAAAGTGCCACATACAGATTTATAAAACTTAAGATGAGGTGACAATGCTAAGAAGTAATCTGTCATTTACGGTAGCACATAGAAATGAAAACCACGGGGTTCCATGGTAAGTGAAGAAAAGTATAGAAAATTAAACTGTGTGAAATTAAATGGCAAAACAGATTTCTGTATTTTTGATATTCCATTGGATAAGAGAGACTGTCTCCTTTTTACATTTATGTGCTCATTTCACATCAGTTGCTCACATTAGAAGAGAAGAGCTTTTAGCATTATAGGAAAAATAGTCTCAGTTCTCAGCTTTAGGAGATCACATAAAATTGCCCTCCACAAAATAATCCGTTCAACATTCCCTTCTGTTTCTAAACCTTTCTTTTATTATGTTTTCTTTCTGCCCAAATGCCGTTCTTTAGAAGTATTATTTGTTAAGGCATTTAGGTAATAAACTCATTTACTTACTTTTTTTGCTTAAAACATCTGTATTTCATTTCCATTCATGAATGTTTAGCCACATACGCCATTCTAGATTAACATTTATTTCAATTAAGCATTTTAAAGGTATTATTAGATAGTCTTTGGCATATTGCTAATGAGAAGTCTATATAGATCTAATTGTCATTGCTTTGTACTTAATCGGATTTTTTTCTTGCACTGTTTTAAAAATTTGATTTTATGATTGGCATTTTGTAATTCCACCATGATTGTAGTATTCTCAACAATTACCCCAGGAATGCAATATTCGCTTTTAGTTTACTATTTTGCTCTGCAGTGGCAGATCCAGTGGTTTCTACTTAGATCATCCTACCACATAGCCCTTATTTTGTATGTCTCAGGACCAGTTATCCATTTAACCAGTTGCTGAGTAAGGCTACTTTCAACTTTGTATTCAGGAACTGGGAGAAAATCAAAGGGTATATTTGTAAATCATCCATATCCATTATAAAATAGATTCATCCCATGACTTTATCAATCACTTGGCCCTCATACATTTCCTCTGTGACTGTAGATCAAAATGGCAGTTGAGGTATCCAGGGATTATTGTAAATTTTTAGCTGTGACCAGGAATCCTGTTTTGTCTGGGATTTTTTCCCAGCACAGTTGTCACCTTAAATGCTACAGAATACTTTAGGAAAGTTGAGGAGAAATTAAGTACATACTTGTTTCAGTGCATCAAGATCCTTCCTAAAAGTGATTCAGCTTTTATATCATTCAAGAGACTCCACATGTATGAGCAAGCTCAAGTCTGGAAATTCAATGTGGGACATTGATTCTCTATTACGATGACTTATGTTAAAACTCTTCCACCAGATCTAGATTTTTTTTTTTTTTTAGTATACAGATTGAGCAATATTTTACTAGATAGTCCACTGATAATACTGTCAATAGAACATATCATTGAATACCATAATTTGCCCTGTTCCCTATTATTTTATAGGGTGCTGTCACTTGTACTCTATGATTCCAGGATCTCATCACCCTCAAACCCTAAAGCCCAGAAAATTCACTTCAATGCTGACATCTCCACCAAAATGTTTGCCTTTCATAATATAGCAGTTTTTTGTATTTTCTACAAATGCTGGAGCTCTCTTTATTTCTATATATTTATATATAGAAATATATATATGCTTGATAAGGCTATCTTACAAGTCATCAAATTTACATTGTTGGGCTACAGTTGAGCCTGTCACATGTGGCAAATGCTCAGATTCCTACCCACCTAAGATTCAATAAATTCTTTTATATTTTGGCCTTGTATCTTCATTTAATTTAAGCCATCATTATAAATTCAGCCTGATCAAGTGTTGTGCAATTTCCTCCCTGTTCTAACACTTTTAGAATCCATTCTCATACATAATCCCCAGGATTTATCACCCTGCTCCAATGTAACCTTCACAAGTCAAGTATTTTCAGGGTATTCAAGAGCAGAGAGGCAAACCACCACAAACAGAGGAGGAAAGATTACCTTTGTTAAGAGTTTAAGTGTTAAATAATTATTAGAATCTTCCCAACTACATTCAATCCAATTTTAAGGCTCCCACTTTCTTGGAAAATAAGAGATTCTAATTTTCAGTAAGAAACCTGGGGATGCTTTGAATTCATGGGCTATAATTCTGCAAACTCTAAGATCAAACTTAGGTCTAGTTTTCTGATCACTGATCCTGTGCTTGCAATAGATAAGAAATCTTACCTAGGCAGTAAAGAAATTGTCTAATCTCTGACTTATGAATTTCACATCTTGAGTCTGTCATTTTCTTTTCATAAGCTCCCTAGTGCAGTAAGACTGGGCTAACCCAACTGTATTTATAATCATTATTTTCTTCATAATACTCTAATACAAAAACCAGTTTGTCTCTAAAAATGTTTCTCGGAAAGATGATGAGTCAAATAATTGGTTTTATAACTGAAGCTATCTGTCATGAATTACCAGCATGTCATTGTCTTTTGGCAGCTTTTTTATGTTTTTAATTTTAACCAAATTAAATAAATAATCATAGATTTCTATCAAGAGTCACATTTCTTAACCAAATATTGTATCAGTTATCAATTATTTAAGAAAACAAAAACTGGTGTAAATGTTTTAAATACAAGGATATTGAGTACAGTAAATGAGGTTTTTCATACATATTGGAAGGGCTAGAATCTGTTCCTACCAATCTAAAATGCTGATTCATAGGAGGGTACCCAGAAGGTTTAGAAAAACTTCACTTTCATATCTTCATGTCCAAAGACACTTCTTTTAATTATATGACACTGTCCAGAACCCTACTGGAGAGGAAGTATGAGAAATGTAGTTTTCAGGTTTTTTGATCCTTTATGCTGTTAAAAAGTACTTCAAATGAGTGAGAAGGTACTGAGTATTAGCAAACAACATGTAACAAAAGTCTGTAGGATAGAGATCCTGATAATAGCCCACAGGGCAGCCATTAAGTTCATGTTTTTACCATCTTCTTTTCTGGTCCCTCTTTGATTGATCTTTGACAATTATTTTTCTTGAAAATTATATATGGATACATGCATACAATCTCTCTATCACCCTCCTCCATCCCTCTATTTCCTCTCTCAATCTATTAATATATAGTTAAGCAATTTTAAGTAGTTACAGCTATAGGTTTTCTTTATTACCTTGGTCTGGAAACTTTGACCAAAAATATTTCATTTATTTTCATAGCAGTGGTTCCCCTCTGGGATCTTGACTCTTCTCTCTGAGTGATCCTTCCTTTTTCATGAAAAGTTTGCAGCTGAGCAGTTTTATTAAGCTGAAGCAAATATCCCAAACTGCAGATGCTGTAGTATTCATAGAATCATTACAAGAACGGATTAATAAGGGATTATGTGCATGTTATTGAGTCATTGATATGGAAAGTGATTTATTTTCTATTTTGATTAGAAGAGAGGATAAGGAGTTTGCATTCATGTAGAATAGACAACAATTTTAATTTACAGCTTGACCTCAGAGCTAATTTCCTATACTCCTGTGTAATATAGTCCAACGGTATGTGCATTGCCTAGACATACCACAGAACATCATGTTGGCCCATCAAATCAGTGGTATCATGCTGATCAGACAGAACATAATGGCAGTAAGAAGGCGCTAGGACACTGGAGACTTGGTAAACAAGTACAATTCAGGGGGTGCAAGATACCCCATGAAGATTCGGAAACATTTCCCATAATTGAAGTTTATTTTAGGGTTTCTATGGTGAGGGTATGGTAGGATATTTGTATCAAAGAAAGACAAATGTTATTCCCTATGCTAGTATGATTTTTGTGGTTATATTACCAACATGTTTCCCACCTATGAATATACCGATTTGCCCCATATACTGGGGAAACAAAAAGCTGCTTGTTTTGACTGGGGTCTAGAGCACGAAAGTGTTTTGCAGCAGGTTCAGGCTGTTGTGAAAGCAGTTCTGCCACCTGAACCACATAATCTGACTGATTCTGTTGTATTGGAGGTGTAAGGGCTGGAAAGGATGCAGTGTGGAGTTTATGGCAAGCCATCGTTTGAGAATCAGAATAAAAGCCCTTGTAATTTTAAAACGTGGCCACACCGTGTGTGGTGGAGAATTCTATACTTTTTGAGAAGCAGGTCCTAATGTGACACTGAAATGAAATGTTTGACCACTAGGCACTAAGCAACCATAACTGTGTGTCTTAGTCTGTTTTGTATTGCTGTAAAATAATACCTGAAACCGTGTCATTTTTATAAAGAAAAAGGTTTATTTAGCTCACTCTTTTGCAGGCTGAGACATTGAAGAGCATAGCCCTGGCTTCTGGTGAAGGCTTTAGTAGTGTGTCTTGACATTGTGGAGAAGGTCAAAGTGGAAGCAGACACATGCAAATGGGGGCCAAATATGAGGAGGAAACTTGACTTATAACAACCTGCTCTCTTGGGAACTAGTCTATTCTCAGAGAACTAATCTAATCTGTGAGAGTGACAACTCCCTTACTACCCAGCCATTCATGAGGGATCTACCTCCATGACCCAAACACCTCCCACTAGTCCCCACCTCCCAAAGTCATGTTATTGAGGATAAAGTTTCAACATAAGTTTTGATGGGGACCAACAAACCATATCCAAACCATAGCATGGTAGAACTGTTCATTAGGAGCATGGCTTCTTGGGAACTTCCAAATCATAAAGTCAGATGGACCCAGCAGTACTCCACGATCAGATGAAAATGGTAGATTTAGAATTTGGTCCAAGAGGACCAGAGGGCATGAATAAGCTACATGAGCAGGTGGCCCAGAACTCTGTATCACTTACTAAGGTCTATGTCAACATCTCTGTTCCAGATCCACCTCTGAACCTACAGGAGTCCCATGTGATCAGAAGGAGGAAAATGAAAGAACTTGATTTGGGGATGGGTCAGCTCAATATACAAGTGCAATCCTTAAACTTGATAGTGATTGTATTACACACACATCTAGGGTTAACAGGAAAAGCACATAAGAAGAGAAAATCTTCCCAGTGGGTGGAGCTGATCACTTACTTCATGTGGAAGGAAATGTGATTTTAGGTTAGAATATTTACATTCATGAGCAGTTAAAAATGGGTTTTTAGTTAGAATCCTGAAGTGGGAAATTTGAAGCCTGAGGACAAGGATATCTGAGGTACTGTTGAAAAGCTAGGCATATCACGTTAACACCAACTAGAAAGATTCAACTGCAGAAGTGGCACAGAAAAACAGGAGTAAACAAAATTACTTGTGCATTTGATGGTGGCACATGAATGGAGTAGGCTGCATTTGGGCGCAGTTGTTATGCGTGGGTCCATCAGCTTTGACTTCTACTTATCAAAGTAGTTCTATCTTTTTCTTAACCTCTGTATGTCCAACCTGCCATTAATAGAGATCAATCTTGAAACATTCATATGACACTATCCCTTGAGGACAAATACCGCTTGTTAGCAAGTTGACTAATTGAGCTTCTTTAATCCTAAAATAGTGGTTTATCTTCACTGAGACATATGCTTATTCTGGGTATGGGTTTACATTTTCTTCCTGCAGAGCTTCAGCCAACACTGTTATCTAGGGACTTATGGCATATCTGATTCACAGCCATGTGATACTGCACAGCATAGCATCTGGCCAGAGGGCCTGCCTGGTAGCAAAGAAGTTATGGGTATGAGACCCACATCCATAAAATCCCTTCATTATATCACACACTGCACTATTCAGAAGCATCCTACATCATAGGTCACTGGAAAAGCCTATGGAAAGAAAAGCTGAAGCATCACTTTAGAGCAAATACTGTGAATGAGTGAGCTGACTTTTTTTGGATATGGTGTATACATTTAATCAAACATGTCTTCCTAATGAGAAAAAAGCATAGGTCCAAAAACCAACCATTAAAATCAAATATTACCGCAATTACTGTCACTTTCAATGGTCTATTGGAGGAAATTTTGCTACCTGTCCCCACAACTACTGCCCCTCATAAGAGGCACATTATTGTCAAAACATACAGCCTGACATGAAACTAAAACTATGGCTGCTGCCAAGGCAGTTTGACCTCCTTGTGCCCAGGGACCAACGGACTAAAAGGAGAATTACCATCTTTGCAAGAGAAATTAAGTGTGAACAGCAGAAAGGCATGCAGAAATGTGTATAAAACCCAGGTAATCTATGTGGGTGCCTTTTGGTGTAATCCCTTGATTAACTGTAACTGTGAAATATATGTACTGCAACCCCAGGCTGAAAAGAGCTCAGTTGCCTCAGAAATGAAGATTGGCATCACATCACTAGGTGCTGAGGTGATAGCAAAGGGTGAGGGCTATTTTAAAAGGATAGTGAAAGAGAGAAGAAGAGTATCAATTGGATACTCACACTCAAAAATGATACCGACCATTGAGTATACTCAGGACTGAAGTCCACCTGTAGCAATGTGGGGGTGTACTTTTTTCCACTAACCTCTCACTTCTACTTTTTCCCATAACAAGTGAGTCCCACAGGAACCATGGAGTAGCTGCTCCCTGAATCTGCATAAAGAGCCTGCATAAAGAAGTGGATTTGTGTGGGGTAAACAGTGGACTTTGGCAGTATTGTAGATACTCAGATCTCATCAAGAGTTCTTTCTATGGGGAGTAGAAATGAATAATAGCCCCCGCTAATTCCCTTTTGGTTCTACTACCAATTTCTAGCCAAGGAAATGTTTCCCTGAATTGCTCCCTATCAACGATTGAACTTGGTAGATTACCTAGGCCAGCCTGTTCCTTGCTAAAACAGATCCCCATGTGAAAATTTTGCATGAGGATTCCCCATCTCTCTGGAAAAAACTTTGATCTATACTTTTTTCCTGAGGTGCTTCCAATCTGAGTTATTTCTTTATCTCCTTTCACAGACTGAAAGGTGTACTTGACTACTCCTGTTTTTTTGTTGTTTGTTTGTTTTTTTTTTTCCTTTTTATTATTTACAGTCACTTCCACCCTACCTTCCCCAAATCATGTCCTGTTTTGGCATCTTGTTCTGTCTTGGTTTCTGCTTCTTGTAAGATCCAAACAGATGCAAGAGAAGTGCATTCCAAACAGGAATTTAGCCATTCGCAAAAGCTTAATGTTGAGATAAAGTTAAGCTAACCATTCATTCTAGTTCACTATAACTATTTTAAGCTTGACATGGAAACAAAAAAAAAGTTTACACTCAACATACATAGTAAGACTTTTGAGAAATGGAGATTGATACGGTTTGGCTGTGTCTGCACCCAAATCTCATCTTGAATTATAACTCCCACAATTCCCAGGTGTTGTGGGAGGGACCTAGTAGGAGGTAATTAAATCATGAGTGCAGATCTTTCTCATGCTGTTCTCATGACAGTGCATAAGTCTTACGAGATCTGATGGTTTTAAAAACAGGAGTTTCCTTGCACAAGCTGTCTCTCTTTGCCTGCCATCATCCACGTAAGATGTGACTTGCTCTTCCTTGCTTTCTGCCATGATTGTGAGGCCTCTCCAGCCATGGGGAAGTGTAAGTCCATTAAACCTCTTTCTCTTGTAAATTGCCCAGTCTTGGGCGTGTCTTTATCAGCAATGTGAAAAGGGACTAATACAGTATATTCATACCAGTAGAGTGGGGCGTTGCTGAAAAGATACCTGAAAATGTGGAAGTGACTTTGGAACTGGGTAACAGGCAGAGATTGGAACAGTTTGGAGGGCTCAGAAGAAGATACAAAGATGTGGAAATTTTGGAACTTCTTAGAGACTTGTTGAATGGCTTTGCACAAAATGCTTATAGGGACATGGACAATAAAGTCCAGGCTGAGGTGGTCTGTGGTGGAAATGAGGAACTTGTTGGAGCAAAGGTGACTTTTGTGATGTTTTAGCAAAGAGACTAGAGGCATTTTGGCCCTGCCCTAGAGATTTGTGGAACTTCAAACTTGAGAGAGATTATTTAGGGTATCTGGCAGAAGAAAATCCTAAGGAGCAAAACATTCAAGATGTGACTCAGGTGCTGCTAATGGCATTCAGTTGTGTAAGGGATGCAGAACATAAAAGTGAAAAATTTGCAGCTTGACAGTACAATAGAAAAAAAAAATCCCATTTTCTGAGGAGAAATTCAACCCAGCTGCAGAAATTTGCATAAGTAGCAAGGAGCCTAATGTTAATCCCCAAAGGCATGGGGAAAATATCTCCAGGCCATGTCAGAGGTCTTCCCAGCAGCCCCTCTCATTATCCGCCAGGAGGTCTAGGAGGAAAAGATGATTTCATGGGCCTGGTCCAGTCCCCCCAGCTGTGTGCACCCTAGTGACTTTGTGCCCTGCATCCCATCCTTTCCAGCTGTGGCTCAGTTCATGGCTTCAGAGGGTGCAAGCCCCAAGCCTTGGCAGCTTCCATGTGGTGTTGAGCCTGCAAGTGCACAGCAGTCATGTGTTTGGGTTTGGAAACTTCCTCCTAGATTTCAAAGGATGTATGGAAATGCCTGGATGCCCAGGCAGATGTTTGCTGCAGGGGTGAGGCCCTCATGGAGAACCTCTGCTAGGGCAGTGTAAAATGGAAATGTGGGGTCGGAGCCCCCACACAGAGTCCCTACAGGGGCACCGCCTAGTGGAGCTGTGAGAAGAGGACTGCTGTCATCCAGACCCCAGAATGGTAGATTTATGGGCAGCTTGCACCATGCACCTGGAAAAGCTGAGAACACTCAACATCAGCCCATGAAAGAAGCTTGGAGGGAGGCTATACCCTGCAAAGCCACAGGGGTGGAGCTGCCCAAGACGATGGGAACCCATCTTTTACATTAATGTGACCTGGATGTGAAACATGGAGTCAAAGGAGATCATTTTTGGGTTTTAAGATTTGACTGCCACACTGGATTTTGGACTTGCATGGGCCCTGTAACCTCTTTGTTTTGGCCAATCTCTCCCATTTGGAATGGATGTATTTACCCAATACTTGTACCCTCATTGTATCTAGGAAGTAACTAGCTTGCTTATGATTTTACAGGCTTATAGGTGGAAGGGACTTGCCTTGTCTCAGATAAGACTTTGGACAGTGGACTTTTGAGTTAATACTGAAATGAGTTAAGACTTTGGGGGACTGTTGGGAAGGCATGATTAGTTTTGAAATGTGAGGACACGAGATTTGGGATGGGCCAGGGATGGAATGATGTGGTTTGGCTGTGTCCCCACCAAGATCTCATCTTGAATTGTAACTCCCACAATTCCCACATGTCATGGAAGGGACCCAGTGTGGGGTAATTGAATTGAATCTTGCTGTTCTTGTGATAGGGGATAAATCTCATGAGATCTGATAGTTTTATTAAAAGGAGTTTCCTTGCATAAGATCTTTCTCTTTGCTTTCCGTCATACACATAAGTTGTGACTTGCTCCTCCTTGCCTTCCCCCATAATTTTGAGGCCTCCCCAGCTATGTGGAGCCTCTTTAAAGAGGTTTAATGGACTTAAATTGCCCAGTCTTGGGTATCTCTTTATAAGCAGCATGAAAACAAACTAATACAGAAATGCAAAGAGAATCAGTTGAAATCTGATTTAGAGTCAATATTTCATTATGCTACCAGACCAATAAAATCAATACAAGCATTACTTTTTCTTCTGTATCATTGAGAGCTTTGCTTTTAGGTCATATTACTCAGTAAAAATATGTAATAGACGACTTGTCGCTTAAAAATAAGTGAGTAAAATACGATTTTGTTTTTACATTGGCAGTTTGGTTTTATCAAGTGTACATGTTGTTCAAGGAGTTAAAACAATTTCACATGATGATGGATGATATTGGAAGCAATTGTGTTTTATTTTTGCACTCTATCACAGCTCCCAATCACTACTCACTGAGAAATCTTCCTAGTGAGAAATGCCTATATTTTAAACTTTTAATATAGAATTCCATAATGTTTTTACTTTTATTATTACTCTTGAAAGTTGGGTCCTAATTTCTATTGCATAAATCAATAAATTATAAGAATTAATAGAGAAGCAAAAATGGTCATGCCATTCTGCTTTCTATAATGTTCATCAGAAGGAAATTTACTTAATTTTGTGGTGCTTTTTTAAAAAAAGGAAATTTTCAATTATGGTCCTTTTTTCTATGGATGTCTCCAGGCTCTTCATTCCAAATGGATCATAGATTCAAGCAATAAAAACTAAAATTTTCCACTTGCAATGAAAGCTGTCTCCCCTTGATATGGTTTGGCTGTGTCCCCACCCAAATCTCATCTCATCCTCCATGGGAGGGACCCAGTGGGAGGTAATTGAATCATGGGAGCAGGTTTTTCCTGTGCTGTTCTCCTGACAGAGAATAAGTCTCATAAGATCTGATGGTTTTAAAAAGGCAGTGCCCTGGACATGCACTCGTGCCTGCCATTATCTAAGACATGCCTCTGCTCCTCTTTTGTTTTCTGCCATGATTGTGCGGTCTCCCCAGTCATTTGGAGCTATGAGTCCATTAAACCTCTTTCCCTTTATAAATTACTCAGTCTTGAGCATTTCCTCATAGCAGTATGATAACGGAGTACTACATCCCTTTTACAAAATGATGTTTGTCACATGCACAAATGCAATAGAAATCAGTCTCACTTTTGTAAAAAAATTATATTTATCTACCTCATGTCTGATATATGCTGTTAAGGTTTTGCACTATTTTTTTCTGAAAACTTTTTTTCCTTAATTTAGGATTTCTATAACATTGCACTATTATTTATTTATTTTCATATTGTCATTCATTCATTCTGTAAACATTTACTATTCATATAAGTTGCTCAAACTTACGCATGATATTTATAATTCATGTGGTGATCTTTGTTGACTACTTTTTTATCAAATGTCATTAGTGCCTTTTGACTGCCTAAGCAAACCCTCCTTGCTTTGACATTTAGGCATCCAATAATATGAATATACTGTATGATTCTAGATTTATTTTCAGTCTTCCATGTTTACTCTGTGTTACCAACAATTTGTTATTGTTTTACAGAAACATATTGTGGAAGTCTTTTCTAAATTTAAAAAATTTATAATCTTAATTGTACAATTTGGAAAATATCCGGAATTAATCATGCTCATGTAACACCACTTTGTTAAAGAAATAATACATTGCAAATATTACAAGCACATTACTATGAAAGAAATGAGACACAAATACTTTATGCTATATGATATGTTCATTAACTGAAACAGCCAAAACTATTTTATAGAGATAGTAGTTATTTTTAGGAGGAGATGTTAGTGACTGGATATGTACACACACACACACACACACACACACACACACACACACACACATGCATGCATGCACAATTTCCTTGCTTATTCATTTATTTATTGATTGATTTGTTTGCTTAGTTTTAGAAATGACTTTGACATATTTATTTTACATACATGAAAAATAAGTATTAAGAAGGCAACGATCATGGTCACAAAGCAAATTACACTTACCATATTGATGTATATTTATAAGTCAAATATTAGAGTATCTAAAAATTACTTGAAGGACCTTGCCAAAATATAGATTCTTAGGCCTTCTCCTCGGAGTTTCTGATTTATTAGGTCTTTTCTGAGGGACAGGAATCTATTTTTTTGTGTTTTGGTTCTTCTTTTATTTATTTGAATAATTTCAACGTTTATGTTAGATTGAGGGGGTACAGGTGCACTTTTGTTAGATGAGTATCTTGCATTATGCTTAGGTTTGGGGTATAATTGATCTCATCACTCAAGTACTGAGCATAGTATCCAATAGTTTGTTTTCCAAGCCTTTCTTCTTTTAACTCCCTTATAGTAGTCCCCAGTGGCTTTTTTTCCCCTCTTTATTTCCACATGTACCCAATGGTTAGCTCCCACTTATAAGCGAGAACTTGTGGTATTTGGTTTTCTGTTCCTGCATTTGTTCACTTCAGATAATGACCCCCAGATACATCTATGTTTCTGCAAAGAACACGATCTCATTCTTTTTTATGGTTCCATTTGTTTTTGTGGATAGTGCTGTGATGAACATATGAGTGCATGTGTCTTTTGGGTAGAATAATTTATATTTTTGAATATATGTTCAGTAATGGGATCGCTGGGTCAAATGTTATTTCTGTTTTAAGCTCTTTGAGAAATCTCCAGATTGCTTTCCACAGTGGCTGAACTAATTTAAATTCCCACCAAGAGTGCATAAGTGTTCCCTTTTCTCTACGGCCTCGCCAGTATCTGTTGTTTTTAGACATTTTACTAATAGCTATTCCTACTGTTGTGAGATGTTATCTCATTGTGGTTTCGATTTGCATTTCTCTGATGATTAGTGATGACAAGCATTTTTTCATATATTTGTTGAACGCTTGTATGCCTTCTTTTGAGAAATGTTTTTTCATCTCTTTTGCCCATTTTTAATGGGGTTATTTTTTTCTTGTTCAATTGTTTAAGGTCCTTATACATTCTGGATATTAGACCTTTGTCAGATGCATAGTTTATGAATATTTTCTCTCACTCTGTAAGTTTTTTCTTTGCTCTGTTTATAGTTTCCTTTGTCATACAGTAGCTCTTTAGTTTAATTATGTCTTATGTGTCAGTTATTATTTTTGTTTCTCTTGCTTTTGAGGACTTTAGTCAGAAATTCCTTTCCAAGGCTGATGTCCAGAATGGTGTTTCCTAGCTTTTCTTCTATTATTCTTGTATTTTCAGGTTTTACATTTAAGTCTTTAATCCATCTTGAGTTAATTTTTGTATATGGTGAAAGGGAGAGGTCCAGTTTCATTCTTCTGCATATAGCTAGCCAGCTATCCCAGAACCACTTATTGAATAGAGAGTCCTTTCTCCATTGCTTATTTTTGTGAACTTTGTTTAAGATCAGATGGCTGTAGATGTGTGGCTTTATTTTTAGGTTTTCTATTTTGCTCCAATGGTCTATTTGTCTGTTTTTGTTCCAGTACCATGCTGTTTTGGTTACTACAGCCTGATAGTATAATTTTCAGTTAGGTAATGTGATGGTTTTGTTCCTTCTGCTTAGAATTGCTTTGGCTATTTGAGCTCTTTTTTAGTTCCATATAAATTTCAGAATAGTTTTTTCCAGTTATGTGGAAAATGATATGGGTAGCTTGCTAGGAATAGCATTGAATCCATAGATTGCTTTGGGCAGTATGGCCATTTTAGTAATATTGATTATTTTAATCCATAAACATGAAATATCTTCCCATTTATTTGTGTCATCTGTGATTTCTTTCAGCAGTGTTTTATAGTTCTTCTTGTAGAGATTTTCAACTCCTTGGTTATATGTTTTCTTAGGTATTTTATTTTGGTCTGGCTATTGTAAATAGTATTGCATTTTTTATTTGGCTTCCAGCTTGAATATTATTGATGAATAGAAATGCTACTGATTTTTGTACATTGATTTTCTACCCTAAAATCTTACTACCATTGTTAATCAGTTCCAGGAGCCTTTTGGTGGAGTCTTGAGTTTTCCAGGTACAGAATCATATTGTCAAAAAAAGAGAAAGAGTTCGACTTTTTTTTCCTATTTGTATGTCTTTTATTTCTTTGTCTTGCCTGATTACACTGGCAAGAACTTCCATTACTGTGTTGCATAGTAGTAGTGAAAGTAGCCATCCTTCTCTTATTTCAGTTCTCAAGGAGAATGCTTGAAAGTTTTCCTTTACCATGTATGAATGTTGGATTTTTTATCCAAAGCTTTTTCTGCATCTATTGGGATGATCATATGGTTTTTGTTTCTAATTATATTCATGTAGTAAATCACAGTTATTGATTTGCATATGTTGAACAAACCTTGCATCCCAGGAACGAAGTCTAGTTGATCATGATGAATTAACTTTTTGAGGTGCTGCTAGATTCAGTTTGCTAGCATTTTGTTGAGGATTTTTACATCTATGTTTATCAGAAATATTGGCTTGAAATTTTCTTTGTTGGTGGTGGTGGTGTGTTTTTGCCAGGTTTGGGTATCACAGTGATATGGGATTTGTAGAGTGAGTTAGGGAGTATTCTCTCCTCCTCAATTTTTTGGAATAGTTTAATTAGAATCAGTACCAGCTTTTCTTGGTACATCTGTGAAAATTTGGATGTGAATTCATTTGGTCCAGGGCTTATTTTTTGGTTGATAGATTTTTTTTTAAATTTCTGATTCAATTTCAGAACTTGATATTGGTCTGTTCAAGGTTTAAATTTCTTCATTACTCAATTTTGGGACATTATGTTACCAGGAATCCCAGCATTTCCTCTACATTTTCTATTTTTTGTGCATAGAGTTGTTTATAATGATCCATAAGTATCTTTTTTTTTGTATCTGTGGGATCAGTTATAATGCTACCTTTGCCATTTCTGATTATGCTTCTTTCAACCTTCTCTCTTTTTTCTTTGTTAGTCTATCTAGTGGTCTATCCTATTTATTCAAATAACAAATTTTGGTTTTGTTGATCCTTTGTATGGATTTGGGGGTCTCAGTTTCATTCAGTTCTGCTTTGGTTTAGTTATTTCTTTTTTTTTCTGCCAACTTTGGGGTTAGTATGTTCTTGTTTTTTCTAGCTCCTGTAGATGTAATGTTAGGTCCTGAAATTGAGATCATTCCAACTTTTTGAAGTAGGCATTTAGGGGTATAAACTTTCCTCTTAACACTGCTTTTCCTGCATCCCAGAGATTTTGGTATGTTGTGTCTCCATTTTCATTTATTTCAAGTATTGTTTTGATTTTTGGCTTAATTTCATTATTAGCCCTAAAGTCATCCAGGAGCAAGTTGTTTAATTTCCTTGTATTTTTATAGTTTTGAGAGATCTTCTTTGTAGAAATTTCTATTTTTATTCTAATTTGGTACAAGAGATAACTGGTATGATTTTGATTTTTTAAAATTTATTGAGACTTGTATGGCCAAGCATATGGTCAATCTTGAAGTATGTTTCATGTGCAGATGAGAAGAATGTATATTCTGTGGTAAATGGGTATAATATTCTGTAGATGTCTATCAGGTCCAATTGGTCAAGTGCCAAATTTAAGTCAAAAATTTCCTTCTTAATTTTCTACCTAGGCAATCTGTCTAACACTATCAGTGGAGTGTTGAAGTTCCCCCACTGTTATTGTGTGACTGCCTGTGTCTTTTTACAGATTTAGAAGTATTTGTTTTATGAACTGGAGTGCTCCAATGTTACGTGCATATATATCTAGGATAGTTAAGTCTTGTTAAACTGAACCCTCTATCATTATGCTATACCCTCCTTTGTCCTTTTAACTGCTGTTGGCTCAAAGTCTGTTTCATCTGATGTTAGAATAATAACTCATGCTCTTCTTCATTTTCCATTTGCATGGTAGATTTGTCTCCAACCCTTTATTTTGAGCCTTTGGGTTTCATTACATGTAAGATGGGTCTCTTGAAGAAGGCAGACAGGTGGGCCTTGTTTTTTTTTTTTAATCCAAGTTGCCACTCTGTGACTTTTAAATGGGTGTTTAGACTATTTACATTCAAGGTTAATATTGATATGTGAGGTTTTGATCTTATCATGAAGTTGTCAGCTGATTGTTTTATAGTTTATATTTAGTGGTTACTTTGTAGGGCCTGTGATCCATGATTTTAAGTGTGTTTCTGTTGCAGCAGGTATTGGTCTTTCATTTCCATGTTTAGAAATCTCTTAAGTGTCTCTTGTAAAGTTGGTCTAGTGGTAAAAATTTCTCTTAGCACTTGCTTGCCTGAAAAACTTTTATTTCTCCTTTGCTTATGTAGTTCATCTTGACAGGATATAAAATTCCTGGCTGGAAATTATTTTCTTTAAGAATGCTGAGAATAGGCCACTAATATCTCTTGTCTTATAAGCATTCTGCTGAGAAATCTGTTAGTCTGATGGGGTTCATTCTGTACGTAATCTGATCTTTTTTTCTAGCTGCATTTAAGATTTTTTCTTTAGCATTGACCTTGGGAAGTCTGGTGACTGTATGCTGTTGTGATGTTCATTTTATGTAGTATCTTACAGGTGTTCTCTGTGTTTCTTCCATCTGGGTGTCTACCTCTTTATCAAGATTAGGAAAATTTTCTTGAATTATTTCCTCAAGTATGTTTTCCAGGTTGTTTACATTTTTTGTCTCTCTTAGAAATGCCAACATTTTGTAGATTTGGTCTCTTTATATAATCCTACAGTTCTTGAAAAATGTTCATTTTTTACAATTATTTTTTCTTTATTTTTGTCATACTTGGTTAATTTGAGATACTGTTCTTCAGGATCTAAAATTCTTTTTTTTCTGATTCGGCCAATCTATTGATAAAGTTTTTAATTGGGCTTTCAAATTCTTAACGGAGTTCTTCAATTCCTTTAGCTCTAATGATTTTTTTTTTAAATGTTTATCTCTTTCTTCTTTCCTGGATTGCCTTAGAAGTTTCTTTGTGTTGATTTTTAACCTTGCAGGCATCTCACTGAGCTTCCATGACTCCATGCTTTAAATTCCTTTTCTGTCATTTCTGAGTGTCTATTTTGGTTAGGGACTATTGCTGGAGAGCTGGTGTTCTCCTTTGGTGGTGTCATTAAATTCAGATTTTTCATAATGCCAGAACTCTTGCACTTATTCTTTCTTATCTGGAGATACTGGTGCTTCTAATCATTGTAAGTATCTTTATCCAGGTAGAATTTTTTCTTTTACTTTCTTTCTGTATAATATTATTGGATTTTCTTCTCATTTCCCTTTCTTTTTTTTCACCCTCTCTAGAGACTGTGTCTGCAAAAAATTATAGATAGGGTCTTTTGGCTTTGCTTTTATAGCCCTACGCACTGCTGAGGCTAGTTTTATAATAAACTATTCAGTTTGACCTATAAGCCAGTAGATGGCACTTATATGTAAGAGCCAGCTATGGCCAACACAGCTGAGTAAATGCTTGATACCTATTTAGTGGGAAAAAAAAACTCTTTGTTGCTTCTGCCAATGGGTTGATGCATGGAATACACAGTTGTCTGAACTCCTTTCTCAGCCCCAGGATGGTGAGGGGGCAACGTGGGTAGGGCCAGACCAGGAAGACTCACCTACAGGTCCCATGATGGCAGGCACAGACATCAATGCCAATGGAGAACCCACTGAGTTGCCACCAAGTGCACAGAGATGTGCCTAGGCATGGAACTGGGAATCCTTCTCAGCCCCAAGTTCTGTGCATGGGGATAGTGGGGGTGGCAGGTGGCCTAAATTCCTAACCCAGAAGAGCAGGTGCTCCAGATGCCTGAAGATTTGCCTGGGCGTGAAGTGAGGAGGGTTCCCTACATCAGAACCACTGCACAGGAATGATGAAAGACTCAGGCTGCTGGACCATACAGACAGGTCCTCTGAATGCCTGCAGATCTGCCTGAATGTGAAATGGGGAGGGGCCCTTGCACATGGATCTTTGTACAGAAAGAGTGGGGCAACTCAAGCCTGCCAATCCAGGCAAGCAGGTGTTTTGAATACCTAGAGATCTGCCTGAGCATGGAGTTGAGAGGTCTTTGTGGCACTGAATCTCTGCACAGAAAGAGTGATGCAATTCAGGTTGCTGATCTAGTTGAGGGGGTGTTCTGAATACCTAGACATTTGCCTGGGTGTGGAGTAGAGAGACATTGCAAAATGATCTATATTCATGAATGTGTGATGGCTCAGGCTGTTGGTTCAGGCAAGTGGGTGTTCCAAATGTCTGGATGGAGCAAAGAGGGCCCCGCTGCACCACAGTCTCAGGGAGAAGTCTGGGGCACCCAGGAATGATACATGTAGACTGACTGCATGTTTCCAAGCAGGCCCTGGCTGTAAGTCTCATTGTCCAGGATAAACTGCAGCTGTAGCAGCTCTCCTCCTGCCCCAGGCCTGCAATGGGGAAGAGTACAATTCCAGTGCCTACTGCTGAAGCGCTTTCCATAGTTCTGGCTGTGGAGGCCCCTACCCAACTTTAGAGCAAGCGCACCATTCTCTGGCCCAAGACTGAAATGCCTGCATGGGCACACATTTGGGTTGCCAAAGAATGGTAAACTTTGTATGTGCTCGGATTAAAAATGGTGTTCCACTTCTGGGAAAATGCCTGCAGATTTTCCTGATGTCTTTTCCTCACAGTATCTCAAACCTCTCCCTAAGTTAGCTCCAGGGCTTGGGAGAAACAAAGTGCCCTCCCTTGGACTTGTTGCCTGGATCCCCAGGGGAAAGATGAGTCACAGAAGGAAGATCTGCCACTCTCACATATTCAGGGTTCACTCACTATTATCAGCTGGATGCTGTCAGGGGAGCTATTTGCCTGTGTTCTTCCTGAGATTTGAGATGTCCTTCATGATTCTGGTTGATTCTCATTTACCTTCTTGAATTAAAGCTCACAGAGTTAATCTTATGGACTATGTTGTTCTTTCCAAGTGGCTGAGGTATGCTAAAAGCATCTCAGAAAAAAAAAAAAAAAAAAGAAGCTTGTTGCATATTTTATATTTCAAGTCTATCTTCAAAGCTCTATTTTTTTTTATTTTTTTTAAATAAAAATTGTATATATTTAAGACACATAACATGTATATACACACAGACATTGTGAAAAGGTTACCCAAATCAAGCTAATTAGCATATTCATGACCTCACATTTTTATCTTTTTTATATACGTGGTGAGAACACTAAAAATGTACGCTATTAGCAAATTTCAGGTGTACAATACAGTATTGTTAACTATAATCACCATGCTATATATTAGATCGCTATAACTTATTCTTTCTACATAATTGAAACTTTGCACCTTTAACCAACACCTCTCCTTTTCCTTGCGCCGGTAACCATCATTTTATTACCTGTTTCAATTAATTTGAGTTTTTTAGATGGCACATATAAGCAAGACCATAGAGTATTCATCTTCCTGTGTCTGACTTATTTTATTTAGCATATTATCCTCTAGGTTCATCCATGTTGTCATAAATGGAAAGATTTCCTTTCTCTTTAAGGATGAATCATATCCCATTATATGTGTATATCTATATCTATAACATTTGTTCATTTATATCTGCTGGGAATTTGTAGGTTTTCTTTGGAAAAATGTCTATTCAGGTCATTTGCCCATTTTATATTCAGGTTATTTGTGGTGTTTTTGCTTTTAAGTTGTTGTAGAAGTTCCCCACATATTTTAGATATTAGCCTCTTATAAAATATATAATTTTCAAATATTGTATCCCAAATTTTTTGTGGCCTTTTTATTTTGTTGACTGTTTCTTTTGTATTGCATTAGCATTTTAGTTTAATATAGTCTCATTTGTTTATTTTTGCTTCTACTAGTTTTATAGTTTCATGGCTTATATTTTAGTCTTTAATGTATTTTGAGTTGATTTTTGTGTATTCTATGGGAGTCCAATTATTTTTTCTTTTTTCTTTCTTTTTTTTTTTTTTTTGCAGGTGGATATCCATTTTTCCCAACCATCCAATTTGTTGGCATGTAATTAGTTATTAAAGTCCCTAATGATCCTTTTTTATTTCTGAGATGTTCACTGTAATGTCTCCTTTTTCATTTTTAATTTTGTTTACTTGAGTGTTCTCTTTTTTTCTTAGTTTAGATAAGGGCTTATTTATTTTATTTTTTTTAAAAACTACATAACTATTCGTTTCTTTTATTTTTTTCTGTTCTCTGTTTGCTTTATTTTACCTCTAATTTTTATTATTTTCTTCCTACTGATAACTTTTTGCTTATTTGTACTGTATATTGTTCCTTGAGGTTTAAAGTTGGGTTCCTTATTTGATTTTTTAATGCAGGCATTTATTACTATAAACCTTTGTCTTAATGCTGCTTTTCATGCACAAAATGCATTTCATTGTGTTGTATCTTCATTTTGTTTTGCCTGAATATATTTTTAAAATTACCTTTTGATTTTACTCATTGATCCAATGATTACCCAAAAATGTGTGCTTCAGTTTTTATGAAAATTAATTTTCCAATTTTCTCACTGTTACTAATTGCTAGTTTCATTTCACTGTGTTCTGAAAAGGTACTTGGAATGATTTGTATCTTCTTCAGTTTGTCAAGACTTTTTTTGTAGTTAACATATAATCTGTTCTGGTGAATTGTCTGTGTGCTCTTGAAAAGAATGTGTAATCTGCTGTTGGTTGGAAAGTTATAAATATGTCTGTCGGTTCCTTTTGGTCTGTAACAGTGTTCAAGTCAGCTGTATGGATATTCCATTCATTATTGAAAGTGGAATATTGTAGTATCCTACTATTAATATAGTGCTATCAGTTCCTCTCTTTATATCTGCCAATGTTTGTTTATATATTTAGGTGCTTTGATACTGGGTGCATATATGCTTATAATTATTATATCTTCTAGTTAAATTGACTGTCTCATTGGATAATGAACTTCATCCCTAGAGATAGTTTTTTATTTAAATCCATTTTGTGGAATTATAATCACTTGTGCTTTCTTTGGCTACCTTTTACATAGAATAACTTTTTATTTCTTCACTTTCAGACTTTATGTATTCCTCACATACATCTTTATATAATACATTATATGCATCTTTTTATAATTTGTATCCATTAACAAACTACTATAGCTATAGTTGGTTTAAGGAATTGAACAATGAGAACACATGGACACAGAAAGGGGAACATCACACACCGGGGACTGTTGTGGGGTGGGGGGAGGTGGGAGGGATAGCATTAGGAGATATACCTAATGCTAAATGACGAGTTAATGGGTGCAGCACACCAACATGGCACATGTATACATATGTAACAAACCTGCACGTTGTGCACATGTACCCTAAAACTTAAAGTATAATAATAAAATAAATAAATAGTTTTGTCTTTTAAGGTTTTACTAGAGTTATAATTGATTTACATATTGATTTATAACATTAGACTGTTTTGAAAGGTAAGTCCCATGTTGATAAACTTCTTCAACTTTTGTTTGAGAAAGTCTTTATCTCCCATTTATATTTGGAAAACAGGATTGCTGACATCATATTTTTGTTGGCAGTTTTCTTCTTTCAGGATATTGAATACATCATCTCATTCCATTCTAATGTGCAAGGTTTCTGCTGAAAACTTTGCTGATAGTTTTATGGATTCTTCTTGTATGTGACAAGTAGCATTTCCCTTGCTGTTTTCAAAATTCTTTCTTTGTCTTTACTTTTGACAATTTAATTATATTGTGTCTCTATGGATATCTTATCTGCTGTTCTGAGATTCCTGATTCTAGATTTCTGTTCTCTTCCCCCGCCTTAGGAAGTTTTGTGCTTTTATTTGCATAAATATGTTTACACTTTCTTCCTGTCTTTCCTTTCTTCAATTCTGATAATGCGTATTGTTGTGCTTGTTAGTATTCTATAAACCCCTTAAACTACTTTTGTTCCTTTTTAATTTCATTTTCTCCTCATATTCGATGGTTTCCAGTGACCTGTGTTTGAATTCACAGATTCTTTTTCTTCTTGATCTAGTTCACTGCTGAAACCTTCTATTGAATTTTAGTTCAGTTATAATATTCTTTAGCTCTATGATTTATGTTTGTTTGGTGCTTTTTTATACCTTCTATTTTTTTCGTTGAAATTTTCAATTTGCTCTTGCATTTCTCTCTTGATCTTGATAGGTATCCTTATGACCATTATTTTTAATCCTATGCTGGGTGAATCACATATCTTTATTTCACTAGGGTCAGTTTCTGATAATTTATCTTATTATTTTATTTCTAATATATTTCCCTGCTTCTTCATTTCTCCTGAATGTCTGTTGCTTCCTGCACATTATGGAAGACAATAGCTTCTCCCAGTCTTGTCAGACCTGCCTCATGTAGGAGAAGGATCTCACCAATTTGTCCAGTCAGATAGTTTGAGATACTCCTCAAATATTTGTGATTGATTGTTTAAACCCCTGCTTCTGTTTTTGCTGGTCCTGGATTAGAATGTACTATATCGTGCTGGTTCCTCAAAATAGGTAAGGTAGAATACATATCCTTTAGATGTTGCTGGAAAGGTAGGTTGTCAGATATTTATTCCAGGTCTTTCTATACTCATGTTGAAGCTGCGAGTGGATGTTTAACTTTCACACTCTCTGCACTAAGACTAAGAGAAAACCTGAGACAAATGCCTGCACTTTCATTCATACTGCACCCTGTGATCATGAAGAGACAGATACTGGAAGTAGGCTTGTTGTATATCTACCTCTTTGCTTTCTTTGGTCTAGGGAGACTCAAGAATGCAAATATATATGTGTAGATATGTATATATGCCTCTGTGTGTGTGTGTGTGTGTGTGTGTGTGTGTCCATCCTATTGGTTATGTTCCTCTGGAGAAAGCTAACAAATATCGGGAGGTTTTGAATTAATATACCAAATTTCATAATCAAGTTTGTACTCAAAGCAAAAAAAAATTTAATATGAGACACTAGAGAAATAACTGCTTAGGGAATGAGGGAACGTAGGTTTTATAGCATACCACTCTTCCTGTGAGAATTATATAAGAAAATTATTTAATCTATAAAATTTGGGAATCTGATTAGTATAAAACACATATAAGGCAGTAGATACATAGTTGGATATATGGTATCTTGTACATTGTTTCTAAATGTACGATGCATCAAAACCTTTTATCATATTTAGGAGACCACATCTGAACTCATGATTTTTATGTACATAAGTTTGATGATACCTGGTATAGTAAACTCTCGGTTTGATTTCAGTTAGTGGAAAAAACATTTTCAACAATAAGAATGTGTACAGTTACTCGCAGACTCTCACCTTCATGATTAATTTACAGAAATCATTCTAGTATGTGATGGCTACAAACAATGCTTTCTAAGGCACCTTTTCAGAAGTATGTAGAGTACCTAAAACATCATTTAATCATTTGTGCAATTACTCTGGCATCAAGAAAGTGAAGCATTTATGCACACTCAAGTGTGGCTGGACGTAGTGACGTCATTCTAAAGTGTAGATAGAGTAGGCATAGGGAGAAAAGGCTAACTTTCCAGCAGAGAAACCTGACAAACACAACCTTAGCCAACTGCTAACATCAGCAATGTTAAGTCATGTTCATATATATGCCCATATATGTGATGAAATTGGTACTTTATCTTTATGGTCTTCTCCACCCACTCTGTAAATTACAAAACAAAGCAAAATATAAACCCAGTCTAATAATGTAAAATTCATCAAAGATATACTGACTTATAGACATTTTATAAGACACCTGACCAGAAAGTCCCCTAGACTTTCAAGGTCATTTACATAAAGAAATTCAGGGCTACTCTTACTGCTTAAGAATCCTGAGACTAAAAAAAGTAATATGATACCTTTAATGGGATCTGGGCACAGAAGAAGAATATTAGATAAAAATTAAGAAATTTGAATACACTATAGACTTTTTAGTTAATAATAATGTATTAATATCAGTTCATCAATTATACCAAATGTACCATGCTAATATTAGATGTTAGTAATAGAGGAAATTGGATGTAAATATATAGGTATTCTTTCTGTTCTATCTTCAAAAATTTTCTGTAAATCTAAAACTTAGATTTTAAAATAAAATTGATTTTAAAAATACTTTACTAAGTTCATTAAATATATTTCCCTATAACTCTAGCATTAATAAAACTGTGATATAGCTAGATACAAAATAGAAAGAAGGTATTATGGTTAATTATATTAATTTTAAATTGAGCCTATATAGGAAACTATAGAATGCAAAGACCCTGACATTCAACAGATTTTCCCACCAAATCAGAAAACATAGAAACACCAAGCCACATTAATAGCAATTAGGAAAGGCTGTGTTTATCAACTATACAATCATAAAATTATTCAAACATATCCTAGGCACCAGCATTTATATAATAATTTGAAAATATTTATAGAAAAAGTTTTTATTTTATTGATTGCACTTTAAAACAGAATATAAATTAGTGGTAGAAAATAGGTTTAGTCTTTTGCAAAACCAAAAGAAAATTTATACAGCATATTTTAGTTTATTGTACCTTTTAAAATTCATAATAGCTATAATATCAGGAAAAAGTTTCAATATTTAGGCCTCGACTTTCTAAGATTTCACTGGGAAATTAAGCTTTGTAATAATCTCTTAAGATTTTAAGGGAAAAATTTTAAAAAAACAGATTAGAAAATAAAAATTATTAAAATATTTAGCTCTCATTTTTGTTCTTTGAACGTAACAGCAAATATATCCACATTCCAATTGAAAATCTCTAAGAAAAGAGATAAAGTTAACTTGGATCCATAAATTTCCTCTGCAATAAAGTACATTTTTGAGACATTTGAATATTTCTTTAGTTTCTTGGCCATGTTTATTACTTTGAGTAAATATTAGGTTGTCACATCGAGCTGCATCCAACTTCAGTTTTGTTCTGACACTTCCGTTGCTAAGCTTAGCTAATAAGTCATGTCCTGTAGTATGTAGTCAACACATAGTCCAATGTTAATAAAAAGTGGAGGGAAAGGCCATCCACTCATGCCATTTTAATTACATCAGCTTTTTATTCAGTAACTGATTGTTAATATCTACCAACCCCCTAATTTTGAAAATATTCTCAAATGATGATTCTTACATATATAATCAACTCTCAGAAAGGTTTATGAAAATATTTTCTCATGTTATTGAATATTTTGATTTACTTCATATTCTTTGTAATAACTTGTCAAGGCTGTCAGTATTATTTGTAAGAAAAAAACAAAACCATGCAGTATCCTATATTATGTTCTAATAAAATATGACCATTAAAATTTTAAGTATAAATGATGGGTAATGCAATTTTCCATGCATGCTAAGTAATTATTGTTATTAATCTGTTATATAAATACCCTTCATGCAATATTAACTGATTTTCAGCACAGCAAAAGTATAATATTTATGTACGTCAAGATTGCCTTGCTATTATGCTGCAATAGCCTAACACCTTAAAATTTTAATGGCTAAGACAATTAAAAGTTCACTTCTTACCATATAAATTCCATCTTGTCTCAGCCCAGTGCTTTGCTCCACGTCATTCTGACTGTTAGCCTCATCCTTATAAGTCTTCGCTCTCTCGAATATATATATATATATATTTTTTTTACCATCTCAAAGAGAAAGAAACAATAAAAGGCCTCACACTCATAATTTAATGCTCCAGCCCAGAATGAGGCATATCACTTCTACCAAAAACAGAATGTCTAGTAACTATATGGCCCTGCCCAATTGCAAGGGAGAATATGCTGATGTCTGTAAGACCACTTCTAGTAGTCCCTAAGAGGACTCATAGAACTCGGCATATCACTCTACTCATGACTAAGATTTTTTATAGTAAAAAGATACAAAGCAAAATTAAGAAAATAAAAAATATACATGGGGTGAAATCAATAAGAAGCCAGGTATAAGTTTCTAAGATTTTTTTGTTTGTTTGTTTTGTTTTGTTTTTGTTTTTGTTTTCCCCAGTGGAGTCACATAGACATGCTTAATTCCATTAGCAATTAGCTGTGTTGGAATACATGTCAAGCATTGTCTGCCAGCGAAACTTATTAGAGATTCAGTGCCCAAGAGATTTTACTGGGTGTTGACCATGTGGGTACCCTCTGCCTAGAAAATACCAAATTTCAGATTCACAGAAGAATAGCAGGTGTTCAGTCTAAATTATAAGCAGCCTAGACACAGCAAACTGCGATTATTGGTCAACTATTGACTAGGAAAACTCAGAGAGCCAAGTTCCAAGATGCCAGCCAAGGTCCAACCTTGCAAGCAGGTCGTTCTAAAGTTAATAATCACAGGACTGCTATGTTAACTCTTTTTTTTTTTTTTTTTTTTTAGATGGAGTCTGGCTCTGTCACCCAGGCTGGAGTGCAGTGGCGCAATCTCGGCTCACTGCAAGCTCCGCCTCCTGGGTTCCCACCATTCTCCTGCCTCAGCCTCCCAAGTAGCTGGGACTACAGGCGCGTGCCACCACGCCCGGCTAATTTTTTGTATTTTTAGTAGAGACGGGGTTTCACCGTGTTAGCCAGGATGGTCTCGATCTCCTGACCTTGTGATCTACCCGCCTCAGCCTCCCGAAGTCCTGGGTTTACAGGCGTGAGCCACCATGCCCAGCCTCCTTTATGAACAGGTAGTGAGAGTTTAATGTCCACTGTACCCAAAATAATGAGAGAGCAGAATTCAGATAAGCATTAAAAGTATCTTCTTCACCATTACTAATTGTAAATCTAAGGAAAGTTCAATTATATCTATATGAATTTATAGTGCTGAGATTTCTCTGATAGTGTTTTAGCAATATGTAGTAGATTTTAAAAAAACCTAAATCTTTGGCAGAAAAATTTTTATAGCCAAATATTTAGCTATATTTACCAAAAGTATAAGTCAAAAAGGAAATTAATGTTAATATTTTATGCTGAACTAGTAAATAAGTGGGAAGAAGGTAGAAAAAATTACAATTGTTAAAAATATCTATATCAATATTTGTACATAAAGATACATATACATATAATTACAAACATATATATGCTTGCATATACATAAAATATTTAAGGAAGGACACATAAGTGAACAAAATCTCATCTCATCCTGTGAAGAGAAGAAAGGCCTGAGGTAGGTAAAGAAAGAGAATTACTTGTTAATATATAAACTTGTTAAATTTTTATATATTACATGTTAATATATAAAGGAAAATACTTGTTAATATATAAATTTCATTCAAAATTAAATTTTTTGTCTTCCTATGTTACTTTAAAAAATAGTGTTTAGGAAGTTCATTTGGAAGGATAAATATGTGAA
This sequence comes from Homo sapiens, assembly GCF_000001405.40. Taxonomy (NCBI): domain Eukaryota; kingdom Metazoa; phylum Chordata; class Mammalia; order Primates; family Hominidae; genus Homo; species Homo sapiens. Next base: position 243,336 of record NW_015148967.1, on the reverse strand, counting down.
TATATCTTATAGATTAAAAAATATATAGAAAGCTATTTAATACCAGCTGATATTGCCTTAAGAATAGATTGATTTAAAAAACTAGCAAACCAATGAACAAACCATGTTGAACACATATGAGATCATATATTTAAATTGTGGTGTTCCATGAAGATATACCACAAGTTTACATGTTCTTAAATGTCAGAAGCCTATTTTCCCATCAATTTACCATTCTTTATATCCTGGGCCTAAAAATAGTACTGCATTGCCCCCAAATTTCCAACTCTTCCAAAGAGTCATCAATTATATATATGCATTACCCCTTTAAGGATTCATTGGGTTATACCCTAAATCAATATTAGAGAATGGCATGCACTTTTCTTCTCATTGTATTTTTTTCTCAAGTTTCCTTTTTTCCTAAGAAGAACCTTCTGCATGCATGTTGCCCTGCAGATAGACTATTAAAGACTTGTCTCCCCAATCACTTCATCAAATGTATGTGTACGTGTGTAAATATCATAGGTGAAAATTATGGAACTAAAGTTTGTAATCTGTATTAAAAGAAAGATATCATGGTTCCACATATCAGATCAGCAGAGGTTTTTAAAAAATTAATGCAAGCTACAGTAAGAGATATACCCTAATACATAAATGGTGGATATAATATTAGTAAATATTTCTAGAGAATAGTTTGAGAAATCACTTCCAATGGCATAATTAATAAGACATTGATTTTCAAATACAAGAACCCATTTTTTAAACTATCTAACTAAAACTAGAAGAATGGGTAAGTAAATCAAGGTATAACAATACATATGATGTATCTTTTGTGGCAATTAAAATAGTATTTCAGACTCAAATACTTCAGTAAAATGATCAAATAAGATGTTAATATTTAAAAAATTGTTATACAGTCAGATCCCATTGCATTGCAAAAGGTAAGTATATGGATATTTGTGTGGTAACAAATATTGGAAAGAGACAGTTATCATGTGGGTAGTAATTTCCTCAAGGCATTGGGATTATGAGTGCATTGTTTTTCATATGCACCACTCTATATTTTAAAAACTATTTATAATGATGATATATTACTTTCAAAATTTAAAAAGAGAAAATAGATTATATTTTAAGAGATATAGAAAATCTAAATAAATTAAAAATAGAAGGATAATTATTATACCAGAAAATAGTAGCTTTTAAAACTGACAGGAATAAAGTACAATTATTCATCACTTAACAATGAGAATACCTTCTGAAAATCTCATAGCCAATTCTGTTGTTGTGCAAATATTAATATAAGAATGTACATGAATATACCTAGATAGTATACCCAACTACACACATAGACTATGTGGTGTAGCCTATTGCTCTCCAAGGCTTCAAATCTGTACAACATGTTATTGCATTGAATACTATAGGCAATTGTACCACAGTGGTAAATATTTGTGTATCTAAATCTATGTAAACATAGAAAAGATAATGGATTGTGTTGCACTACAATGACTAAGTCAATCAATAGCTATGAAGTCACTGGCAATATTAAATTTTTAGCTTCACTATAATCCTGTGGGACCACTGTCTTATATGCAGTCCATTGTTGACTGAAAGGGCATTGCGCAGTACATGACTGCATAGTAATAAATTCCATGAGGATAATGACATTTAGGGAAAATATTTAAGAAAATGTTTGTTCCATTGATAGTTACAAGTATCTATTCATCACAGTGTCTGTAAGTGCATCTTTTATATAACATCCTTCCTCTACTTATCTACTGTTTATTCATTTAGTCTTATCTAGTGACCATCAAAATATAAAGAATAACATTATTTTACATTTACAATATAACACTAGAAGGCTTTAAAACAATTAAGGAGCTAAAAAATTCAAACAATACTTTTGCAGGAACTATATATGTTTGAGCACTTTGCCTGCCAACTTCTAATCCCATGCAAATTAAGGTTGTTGAATTTCACTAGCACATCTTCCTCCTTACAAAAACTGGAAATATTTAGAAACTCATTACTGAGCTAATCATTTATTGGATCCTACTTTATAATCATTGTAAGAGGATGGGATGCAAACATGAAACTTTTCCCTCATCTATTAGTTAATTATTGAGACCTTTTATTTGCCTTTAGGGTCAAATTCTTCCTTATAAAGGTTAAAGTCATCCCTAAATTTCAGCATTTATTAGTCAGTGATGGATAAAAAGTGACTACATTAAAGTAAATTAAATCCACCATGACTAATTTACCTTATTCTCAAATATCTTAATATACTTGGAAGCCCCCATCTTTTTTCTCCTCCTCCAACTATCAGGATGTATTAATTTAAAATATAATATATGTTTTAAAACATGTATTAATGTGAAGTAGAGAGACATGAAAAGGAAAGAGAATCACTGTCCTTTCTCAATGTTTATGAGAGGGCAAGTGTCAGCTATAGCAATAAATTTAGAAAGGAACAAAAATAGGTTTTATTGCAGAAGATAGCAGGGATACTCAATTTGATGGAAAGCTTCATAACACAGTGTTTAGGCTCTTTCATTAAAAAGAGAAAATGATGATACTGAACCCTGAACTGGGATCTGGCATCTTCATCATTGATTTACAGTAGCATCTGTGGAGGGAAAGGTCACCATGCTGAATAAGCTACTAATGTGGCTCAGAGAGAAGGTCATTTGTGCATATTGTAACTCTCATCATTTTAGGAGCAAAGAGAATTTGCAAACAAGACTTTGACTTTTGCAGATAAGTATTGTATTGCTAAAGAGTTCAAAGTGTTTGTTCTTGATACCTGGTAAATAAAGTGCCTTTTGCTCTGAAGTTTTCAAACAAGATTGCTATACCAGTGTTCAATCGATATTCAGGCAAAAATACTCATCTGGGGGCTGAGGCTAGATAACAGAATTTTAAAAGACTCCCTTCTTTAGACTTTTAGTAACAAAGACAAATGAAAGTAGAATGTGAGGACAAGGAAAAGCTTAAATGTTTGCTTCTAAACTTTTTCTCTTTGGCACAGAGAAACATAAACATTTTTCCGTTCATTTTTTTCATACAAGTACCTTTATTATATTTGTGATAGACTTCTGACTTCTTGGGAGAATCTCAATCTATAGTTCTTTGACCCCCCCACTGCCCCACAACACACACACACACACACACACATGCACACAGACATCACATCAAATTAAAGTTAAAACTAAATTTTCTTCCCAAAATATAAGCAGCCACTTTCAGTAGCTTTTCTGTCTACAGATTTCAGCATAGAAATTAAAAGGTGTGGAAATCAAAGATAATAAAGAAAAAAAGAAAAATCTTTCCTGTGTTTGTCCTGATATGCCCTTCAAACTCATGGGATTATTAGTAAGACTTCGTAACTTTTTTCTATTATTTTAACAGAAAGTTCTATTTATTTTTTCTCTTTTTTGTCTGACACAAATTTGATGGCTTCTTGTTGGCTATGGCCACCAATATCCCCCTACTATTAACTAGGTCTTGTTTCTCTAATATAACAAAACATCTTTTTAGGTTATGTGGTAGGTGGTGACATCTCAACACAACATTGTTTATTCATTTTATCATTAAGCACACTTGCAAATGTATTTGAAAGAAAAATTCCTGGAAGTCAAAGAGCTGATTGAACAGGTGTAGACATTTAAAATTTTGATAGATGTGGCTAAATGGCATTCCAAATTGTACTAATTACATTTACACTAACAAAAGACAGGATGTTTTTAATCTCCATTTAACAACTACATGTTACTTTGTAATATTCCATGTATTATTTTAATCTTTTAGATATTTTAACCAGTAATTGTTTTACTAGTTTGTTCAAATAGCATATAACATTCTATTTATTCTGCTCCTTCCTATACGGCTTATTAAAAGTTTTGTTTGTTTTCTTATGTGTTTATATTTTACTTTTTATATTTACTTATTTTACTTTTAATCATTGACTATACAAAATTTATTTTTATAGAAATTGTTCTCATCACCATTGACTAAATAATATGTTTTCTTCAAAATGTATTATGCCATGTTTATTATATACTAAATTTTCATGTGTATTGAGTTCATTTCTAAAATATGTATTCTGGTTTTAAGACATGTGTACTCATTCATCAGTCTCACACTTAAAGATTATGTTAATTCTAACAGAAGAGACCAAGCTGAGGAAAGAATATTAGAGTTCAAAGGCTGGTTCTTTGAATCAACTCAGTCAGATAAAAAATAATTATGAAATGAACAAAACTTCTGAAACTATAGGATTATGTAAAGACACCGCACTTACATTTAATTGGTATTCCTGAGAGGAGACAAAATAAACAACTTGGAAATTATATATCATGATATACTCCATAAAATTTTCCTAATCTCTCTAGAGGTTGACAAGCAAATTTAAGAAATACAGAGAACCCTGTCTAGATACGCTACAAGATGATAATCACCAAGGCGCAGAGTCATCAGATTCACCAAGGCCAATGTAAAAGAAAAAAAATTTATTAAATTCAGCTAGAGAGAACCATCAGACCACATTCAAAGGGACCCTGCTCAGGCTGGCAGTGAACCTCTCAGCAGAAATATTACAAGCTGGGAGAGATTGGAGGCCTATTTTCAGCATAATTAAAAGAAATTCCAATCAACAATTTCACTTCCTTTCAAACTAAGTGTATTAGCCCATTCTCACACTGCTAATAAGGGCATATCTGAGACTGAGTAATTTATAAAGAAAAGAGGTTTAATTGACCTATAGTTCAGCATGGCTGGGAAGGCCTCAGGAAACTTACAATCATGGCAGCAGGGGAAGCAAACACATCATTCTTGACATGGTGGCAGGAAGAGAAGTGCCCGGCAAAGAGATAAAAGCCCCTTATAACCCTTATAAAACCATCAGATCTCATAGGAACACAGTATCATGAGAACAGCAGTGTGGGGGTAACCACCTCCATGATTCAGTAACCTCCCACTGGGTCCCTTACACAACACATGGGGATTGTGGGAACTACAATTTGAGATGAGATTTGGGTGGGGACAAACCATATCACTAAGCTTCATAAGTGAAGGAGAAATAAAATCCTGTTCAGAGAAGCAAATGCTGATGGTATTTGTTACAACTAGACAAGCTTTACAAGAGGTTCTTAAGGGAGTAGTAAACATGGAAAAGAATGAATGACACCTGCTACCAGAGAAATGAAATAAAGCAGATACCCCACCAACCCTATAAAGAAACTGCATGATCAAGTATACAAAACAACCAGCTAACAACACAATGACAGCATCAAATTTTCATATATCAATACTAACACTGAATATAAATATTCTAAACACATCATTAAAAGGCACAGAGTGGCAAGTTGGAAAAAAAAAATCAAACTGTCTACTGTCTTCAAGAAACCCATCTCATATGTAATGACACCCACAGGCTCAGAGTAAAGGGATGGAGAAAGGTCTAACACATAAGCAGAAAAATAAAAGGAATCAGTAACTGTTTTTCTTATATCAGATAAAAGACTTTAAACCAACGAAAATCAAGAACTACAAAGATGGGCACTACATTATAATAAAGGGTTCAATTCAACAAGAAAATTTAGCTATCCTGAATATATACACACCCATCATTGGAGCACCCATATTTATAAACAAGTCCTTGTTGACCTTCAAAACACACTTAGCCACACAATAATAGCGGGAGTTTTGTTTTTGTTTTTGTTTTTTTTCTTTTTAGATTGAATCTTGCTCTTTTGCCCAGGCTGGAGTGCAATGGCATGATCTCGGCTCACTGCAACGTCCATCTCCTGGGTTCAAATGATTCTCCTGTCTCAGCCTCCTGTGTAGCTGGGATTACAGGCACCCAATAGCAGGAGATTTTAACCCCCCCACTGAAAGCATTAGATAGACCACTGACGTAGAAAACTAACAAAGAAATTTTGCACATAAACTTGACACTTGACAAATTGGGTTTAATAGACATCTACAGCATATTCAATCTACAGACATCTACAGAATATACAATCTTCTCATCTGCACGTGGAACATAATCTAAGATGCATTATAGGCTCAATAATAAGGTAAGTCTCAATAAATTCAAAAAAAAGTAGAAATACTACCCACCACACTCTTGGACAACAGTGCATTAAAAATAGAAATCAACATCAAGAAGATCTCTCAAAACTACACAGATATATGAAACTACAGAGCTTGCTCCTGAATAATTCCTGGGTAAACAACAAAATTAAGGCAGACATCAAAAAATTATTTGAGCTGGGCATGGTGGCTCATGCCTTTAATCCCAGCACTTTAGGAGCATGCAACAGACTGATCACTTGAGTTCAGGAGATTGAGAGCAGCCTGGCCAATATGACAAAACCTCATATCTAGTAAAAATACAAAAATTAGCTGGGCATAGTAACCTGTGCCTATAGTCCCAACTACTCAGGAAACTGAGGCACGAGAATCACTTGAGCTTAGGAGGTGGAGGTTGCAGTAAGCGAGATCACAACAGTGCATTGCAGTCTGGATGACAGAGTGAGACTGTCTCAAAAAAAAAAAAAAAGAAATTAATGAAAATAGAGACATAACCTACCAAAACTTTTGAGATGCAGCAAAAGTAGTTTATAGTGCTAAACTCCTTCATAAAGAAGTTAGAATGATTTCAATTAGCAATATAATGTTGCACTTAGAGAAAATGAAAAAAGAGAAGAGCAAAATAGTTGTAAAGCTAGCAGAAATAAAAGAAATAACTAATATTAGAAAAAAATGAATGAAATTAAGGTGTAAAATATCTATACAAAAGATCAATCAACCAATAATTAGTTATTTCAGATAATAAGGTTAATAAACCACTAGTTAGATTAAAAACAAAAAAGAGAAGATCCAAAAAATACAATCAGAAATGACAAAGGTGACATTACAACTAAGCCCACAAAAATAGACAAGTTCCTCAGAGACTATTATGAACAACTTTATGCACACAAATTAGAAAAACTGGAGGAAATGGATAATTTCGGGAAATACACAGCTCCCAAGAATGAACCAGGAAGAAAATGAAAACTGGAACAAACAAACAACAGGGTCTGAAATTGAATCAGTAATAAAAAGCCTACCAACCAAAAAAATGTCCTGGATCAGATGGATTCACAGTAGAATTCTACTAGACATACAAAAAAGAATTGATACCAATTTTACTGAAACTATTCCAAAAACTTGAGGGGGAGGAAATCCTCCCAAACTCATTCTACAAAGCCACCATCAGCATAATACCAAAATCTGGCAGAGACACATCAACAAAACAGGCACTGGAGGTCAATATCCTTGATGAGCAAGACAGAATAATCCTCAAGAAAATGCTAGCAAACTGAAACCAGCAGCACATCAAAAAATTAATACACCACGATCTCATAGGCTTTATTCTTTGGAGGCAAACTTTGTTCAACATATGCAAATCAATCAATGTGATTCACCACATAAACAGAATTAAAAGCAAAGTACAAAATTATATCAATAAACACAGAAAAAGCTTTGGGTAAGATCCAACATCCCTTTATGATAAAAACCCTCAACAGAGAAGGCGTTGAAGCAACGTACTGAAAATAATAAAATCCATGTAAGAGAAATATACACCCAATATCACACTGATACCGCAAAAACAGCAAACATGCTGCTTAAGAACTGGAACAAGACAAGAATGCCCATTCACCACTCCTATTTAACATAGTACTGAAAGTCCTAGCTGGAGCAATAATGCAAGAGAAAAAAATATAAAGCATCCAAATAGGAGATGTCAAATTATGTCTCTTCACTGATGATATCATTCTATACCTAGAAAACCCTAAAGATTCTACCAAATGGCTCCTAGAACTGATAAATGACTTTAGTAAATTTTCAGGATTCAAAATCAATGTAAAAAAAATCAAAAGCATCAATGATGTCCAAGCTAAGAGTCAAATTAAGAGCACACTATCATTTACATTAGTCACAAAAAAAGAGGAATATCTAGGAATACAGCTAAGGAAGTGAAAGATCTCTGCCATGAAACCATAAAACACTGCTGAAATAAAGTGGAAGTGATACAAATAAATGGAAAAACATTCCAAGCCCATAGATTGGATCAACCAATATCATTAAAATGGCTATACTGCACAAAGTAATTTGCTGATCCAATGTTTTCCTATCATTCTATCATGATAACCATAAAACACTGCTGAAATAAAGTAGAAGTGTTACAAATAAATGGAAAAACATTCCAAGTTCATAAATTAGATCAACCAATATCATTAAAATGGCTATGCTGCAGAAAGTAATTTGCTGATTCAATGTTTTCCTATCCAACTACCAATATTATTTTTTCACAGAACTAGAAAAACTATTTTTAAATTCATATAGAATCAAAAAAGATCCTGAGTAGCCAAAGCAATCCTAAGCAAAGGAAGCAAAACCAAAAGAGCCATGTTTACCTGACTTCAAACTATATTGCAGGTCTGCAGTAAACAAAACAGCATGGTAGCATGGAACAGGTACAAAAACAGAAACATAGACCAGTGGTACAGAAGAGATAACCCAGAAATAAAGCCACACACGTATACCCATCTGATCTTTGACAAAGCTGACAAAAACAAGCAGTGGAGAAAGGACGATTTATTCAATAATTGCTGCTAGGAAAACTGGAATATGCAAAAGAATGAAACTAGACTCCAATGTTTCATCATATACAAAAATTAGCTCAAGATGCATTAAAGATTTAATGTAAAACCTTACAGTATAAACATCCTGAAAGAAAATTTACAAAAGGACACTTCTTGATATTGGCTTTGGCAGTGAATTTTTGTCCAGGACTCCAAAAGCAATTGCAGCAGAAAGAAAAATTGATAAGTAGGACTTCATTAAACTAGAAACTATCAACAGAATAAACAGACAATCTACCCAATGGGAGAAAATACTTGTAAACTATGTATCCAAAAAAGTTATAATATCCAGCATCTATGAGAAACTTGAACATTTGAAAAGAAAACTTTACCCCATTAAAAAGTGGGCAAAGGGCATGAACAGACACTTCTCAAAAGAAGACATACAATCAGCTAACAAAGATATAAAAATATTCTCATTATCACTAATTATAAGAGAAATGCAAATCAAAACCAAATGAGATTCCATCTCATGCCAGTCAGAGTGTTTGTTATAAAAAAAATTAAATAATAACAGATGCTGGTGATGCTGCAGAGAAAAGGGAATGCTTATACATTGTTGGGTTGGTGGAAATGTAAATCATTTCACCCACTGTGAAAACTAGTTTGGAGATTTCTCAAAGAACTTAAAACAGAGCTGCAGTTCAACCCAGCAAATCATATTACTGGGTATGTACCCAAAGGAAATAAATTGTTATACCAAAAAGACACATGCACTTGTATGTTCATTTTAGTGATATTCACAATAGCAAAGACATGGAATCAACCTAGGTGCTCATCAATGCTGGGTTGAATAAAGAAAATGCAGTACATACATAACATGGAATACTATGAAGCTATAAAAAATGTTGAAATTATGTCCTTTGCAGCAACATAGATGCAGCTGGAGGCCATAATCCTAAGTGAATTAATACAGAAACAGAAAACCCAATACTACATGTTCTCACTTATAAGTGGGAACTCAACATTGAGTACACATGAACATTAAGATGATGATAATAGACAATGTGGACTACTAGAGTGGCAAGGGAGGTGGAAAAGCTGTCAGTCTATATATATACACACATATATATACATATGTGTATGTATATATGTATATGTATGTATACATATATACACATGTATACATATATACACACATGTATATACACATGTATACATATATACACATATATGTATATATACACATGTATACATATACATGTGTGTATGTATACACATATATACATGTATACCTGTGTATACATACATATATACACAGGTATACATGTATTATATATATTCCCTGTATTTAAAATGAAAGCTTAAAAGAAAAATGTTGTGTTAGCTTCTTACAAACTTTTTAAAAATTGTGTATTGGTATTCATTGCTACCTAATTAACCTTAATTTTGAGAATTTTATCAACTATTTTACATGTTCATATTCATATTAAAATTATCTGCCTTTATTAAAAATATCTATATATCATTTGGGAAACCTATATGTATAGATAAATATATTAGAATGCTTTATGCTTTAACTGTAATTGATTCAATGTGTAAGATAAAATATTATAAGTAAAAGAGGGTATTTGTTACCCCATATTACAAGATATCCAAAGACATGATGCTATTGGGGCATACTAAATTAGTAGCTCAAAGCTGAATTCTCTTCTTTCTGTGCTACCATTCTGGCTCTTTTGACTATTGACCTGAAGCTTCCCTCTAATAATGATGTGGCATATGCTGTTCTTGCATTAGTGTGCCTTTGACATTAATGATTAATTTATAGAGAAACTGAAACTTTATCTCTCAGAATTGGCCCTTACAATCTCATATGCACACCTCTCCCACGTTAGTACCTGGGCCTTGAGGAGTTGTATAGTTTTAATTTCTGGTCCTGTGTATGTCCCAAGAATGCAGTTTAGTTTGATTGACATCTTCTACCAGGCCTGAAGATGAGGCTTTAATTGCTGTCAGTGTTTAAGATTTAGCAGGACTTGGTGTCCTTCTTAAACCCAAGAGTCAGAGCCCTGTAACTCAATGTCACAATTACTTTAAGAGCACATGCAGAAAGATAAGTGGATGTAATAACCTTAATTTAATTTTTTTAAAATCACAGTATTTTTCCTAAGCAAACCAAAACTTACTGATAATGGCATAGGAATTGCTTCAATAAAATATAAAATCGTTAGGCCAGTTACTAAAAGGCAAAAGTAAAGATGCTTTGCACTGCACAGAATATTATGTTTGAATAAAATGTTTCCTTTAAACATTTAAAAAAACATTGTTAGCATCAAGCCACAACAAAGAAACTCGAGGAAGAAAAACTTATTTGACCTGAAAATGAGTTGAAGGAGAGCATTACTATTTCACACCCTTTTAATAGGAGAGGGAAAATTGAAAATGGCCAGATGCAATAAAAGTTGAATTTTTGGTTTAAAAAATTAAAATTTTATAATTTATTAATAATAAATCAATCCCTTAAAAATTTCATCATTTTAACCAAATATTTAATGTATAAGTGTTTTCATTTTTTTACATCAAGCCCAATCTCTAGAAAGACCATTATAATTTCTCTTTAATAGACAACTTGATCATATAAAAGTTTTTTTTTAATAAATCCTTTTATTGTGACTTAGACCATTTATGACATGCTTGGACTCTCTGGTTCATCCTGAACATCCGTCTTTCTTAAACAATCAGTCATTTTATTCTGGGACTAAATCTACCATACAAGATTATTTCTCATATAAAATTAGTTATCTTTAAGCTTTCTTACCAAATAAAGAAACCTCTTTATTTTTATAACTTTCTTTACATCTCTCTTATTTCCTGGTTCCTTTTACCTTGTTTTATACATAACCTTTAGATAAGCTTTAAATTAGACAAATTATTCACCTTTTTAAAAAGGACACAGGGGTTTTAATAGAAAAGACGTTTTCCTACAAATACCTTCTTATTGGAAAAAAACTAATAATGAAATATTTATTATTTAATATAACAATAGATTCTAAATTCTGATTTAGAATTTATTATTATTAACATGTATTAATCCCATTACATTTACCTAATTATTTAACTGTTTATATAGATGATTTATGAAAACTGCAAGAGTCATTGATATGGTTTGGCTGTGTCCCTATCCAAATCTCATCTTGAATTCCCACTTGTTGTGGGAGGGACCAAGTGGAAGGTAATTGAAACATGTGGATGGGTCTTTTCCATGTGGTTCTCATGATAGTGAGTAAATCTCATGAGATCTGATGGTTATTACAAGGGGGAGTTTTCCTGCACAAGCTGTCTTATTGCCTGCTGCCATCCATGTAAGATGTGACTTGCTCCTCGTTGCCTTCTGCCATGATTGTGATGCTTCCCCATCCATGTGGAACTGTAAGAACAATTAAAACTCATTCTTTTGTAAAGTGCCCAGTTTTGGGTATGTCTTTATCAGCATTATGAAAACAGATTAATACAGTTACTTGTTACCAGTGGAGTGGAAGGCTGCTGAAAAGATACCTGAAAATGTGGAAGCTACTTTGTAACTGGGTAACAGGCAAAGGTTGGAACAATTTTGAAGGCTCAGAGGAACCCCTCAAATGTGGGAGAGTCTGGAACTCCCTAGAGATTTGCTGAATGGCTTTGACCAAAATTCTGATAATGATATGGACAATGAAATCCAATCAGAAGTGGTCTCAGATGGAAATGAGGAACTTGTTGGGAACTGGAGTAAGGTGACTCTTGTCATGTTTCAATGAAGAGACTGGTGGCATTTTGTCCCTGCCCTAGAGATTTGTGGAATTTTGAACTTGAGAGAGATAATTTAGGGTGTCTGGAAGAAGAAATTTCTAAGCAGCAAAGCATTCAAGAGGTAACTTGGGCACTGTTAAAGGCATTCCGTTTTAAAAGGGAAACAGAGCATAAACGTTTGGAAAATTTACAGCCTGACAATATGACAGAAAAGAAAATCCAATTTTTCTGAGGAGAAATTCAAGCCAGCTGCCTAAATTTGCATAAGTAATGAGGAGCCAAATGTTAATCCCCAAGACAATGGGGAAAATGTCTCCAGGGCATGTCAGAGGTCTTCATTGCAGCCCCCCTCATCACAGACCCAGAGGCCTAGAAGAAAAAAGTGGTTTCCTGGGCTGGGTGCAAGGTCCCTGTGCTATGTACAGTCTAGGGACTTGGAACCTGCATTCCAGCCACCACAGCCCTGGTTGAAAGAGGCCAATGTAGATTTTGGTCTGTAGCTTGAGAGAGTGCAAGCTTCAAGCCTTGGCAGCCTCCATGTGTTGTTGAACCTACGAGTGCACAGAAGTCTAGAACTGTGGTTTGGGAGCCTCTGCCAAGATTTCAGATGTATGGAAATGACTGGATGCCCAGACAGAAGTTTGCTCCAGTGTTGGGGCACTAATGGAAAACCTCTGCTAGGGCATGCAGAAGAGAAGTGTGGGGTGAAAGCCCCCATACAGAGTCCCTACTGGGGTATTGCCTAGTGGAGATATGAGAAGAGGGCCACTGGTCTCCAGACCCCAGAATGATAGATCCACCAACAGCTTGCACCCTGTTCCTGGAAAAGCCACAGACACAAAAACCAGCCTGTGAAAGCAGCTGAGAAAGAGGCTGTACCCTGCAAAGCCACAGGGGCAGAGCTGCCCAAGACCATGGGAACCCACCTTTTGCATCAGAATGACCTGCATGTCAGACAAGGAGTCCAAGGAGATTATTTTGAAGCTTTAAGATTTGACTGACCTGCTGGAATTCAGACTTGCATGGGGCCTGTAGCTCCTTTGTTTTGTCCAATTTCTCCCATTTGGAATGGCTGTATTTACCCAATGCCTGTACCCCCATTGTATCTAGGAAGTAACTAATTTTTGCTTTTGATTTTACAGGCTCATAGGCAGAAGGGACTAGCCTTGTCTCAGATGAGATTGGGACTGTGGAATTTTGAGTTAATGCTGAAATAAGTTAAGACTTTGGGTGACTGATGGGAAGGCGTGATTGGTTTTGAAATGTGAGGACATGAGATTTGGGAGGGGCTAGGGGTGGAATGATATGGTTTGGCTGTGTCCTCATCCATACCTCATCTTAAATTCTCATGTGTTGTGGGAGCAACCCAGTGGAAGGTAATTGAATCATGGGGGTGGACCTTTCTGTGCTGTTCTTGTGATAGTAAGTCTCATGAGATCTGATGGTTATTATAAGGGGGGGTGGTTCTGCACAGGCTCTCTCTTTGCCTGATGCCATCCATGTAAGACGTGACTTGCTCCTCCTTGCCTTCCACCATGATTGTGAGGCTTCCCCAGCCACATGGAACTGTAAGTCCAATTAAACCTCCTTCTTTTGTAAATTGCCCAGTCTTGGGTATGTCTTTATCAGCAGCATGAAAACAGACTAATACAGTTGTAGTTTAAAGTTATAGAACCATCGTGGCAAAATTATAACAGACAGTGAAAAAGATCTGACCTAAATGATTTCATCTCTCTTCTAACCTCCAAGCCGTCCTTGTTCATTCCTGGGCATATTCTGAGCTAATTGGGAGGAACTTAGTTTATAGTTTACCTTTAAATCAAAGATGATAAGAGTCCCTTTCCAAAACAAATCTTATAGCCTGTGGACTAGACTATCTAAAGCCACAAGGTTGGAAGTTATGGTAACCTTATTAAATTCAAGATGTAGCATTTTTATTAAACCAATATCAATGTCTTATTTATTAAAGATTACATAAGCAAAGATCATTCTGTTTTGGGATGGGTTTATGGTTTTGTAACCCCTATGCCACATTTTGATACCTTATAGTATTTGGCAGGGACAAGTATGAAATTGCTTGATTAATAAATGGAAACTAAAATGAATGCTGGCAGTTTTAAGACATTTCTAATATTAGTTAACCAATAATTTTAAAGCTAGCTTATTAAAGATTTTACTTAATTTACATAAACTTGAAAGAGCATTTGATTAGTCTTTTCCTTCTTCCTGATGAAGTATTTGATTCAAGTACTTTTATTTTCTTAAGCCAATTAGTTGGAGCTCTTTTATATATTTTCAGTAGTGAAACATTCTGTACACAACACATAGATACACAGACATATTAGGTATGATGATAAAAATATATCTTATAGATTCATAAAAACCTTTTTTTCCTACCTTACACTTTCAAATTTTTGATAACCTGTTTTACTACCCTACGCAATTGTCAGCTAAATAGACTTAAATTTGCATATTAAAGGAAACAACTTAGGTGAAAATCAAATAGCAAAATTTACATCATAAGGTACAGAGAAAAAATGTCTAGTGTGCTAGAAAGGAATTAAAATGGATTTAATTGCCAATTAAACATTAAATTATAGAAATTATAAAGGCCTTTTAAATACGCGCGCACACACACACACACACACACACACACACACACACACAAAGATCCTATAGCTTTTATTTCAGAACTTTAACCATGAGATATATACAAATTCACTGGCTTGTAAAAAGAACCTGTTGGATCCAAACAGCGGATTTAAAGCAGGCAGAAAAGAACAATAGAGAAAAAGAAAACTTAGAAACGCTATAGTTTGCAGGTCGACCTTAGGGCTCTTTTTCCTTGATGTAAATGTGCATAAAGACCACATTACTTCCATTTTACATAAACTCTGGTGAGTAGAGGTGTCGTAAAATCTAACAGGTCCTTGAAAAGGTAATTCTCCTTGTTTTCTCCTTATACCAATATTACTTGTTTCCCACTTTTTTTCTTAAAAGGAGAAACTGAGCTGTTGCCTAGGGTTTTTATGTGGTGGATTGATGCGTGCTGCTTGTGAGCAAGACTCCACAGTGTGTCACCACTGTGTTGTATCATCTGTCCTCTTACGTGTCTCAGTTTATCTCTTCAAAGGTCTATGACCTCTGAGAGGGCCCAAAACGCTGGGTGATCAGCCCTTCTATGCATTTCCGGGATGAGCCTTTTTTAAAAAATAATTTTTGTTGGAAATTTCCCTGTGGGGCCACTGCTCGTTGTGGGGGATCAACCTTGCAGACACTCCCATGAGGCCCCCAGTCACTCAGGGGCACCTTTCAGCTGGGAGGAGCAAATGTCCTTTCTCTCTGGAGCTGAGAAAACTCAGTCTTTTACCTATGAAAACAACAGTTCATTCAGTTCCTCATGCAAATGTTCACAGACAACCCAAATTGAGATTAATTTTGAGAGAAAAAGCAATACTGAATACCCCTTAGAATGCATCTCTGAATTAGAATTAGGATCCTTAAACAACTTCTTAGGAGAGGAATACTAATAATAATAATAAAACAGCCAAGACTACTTCTTGTAAACTGTGCTCAGTCACCCCTACTTTGTAGCTCTTGTCTGCCATTACACATGCCAAGGTCAAATCCTCTCACAGTACAAGGTAATCTCTGGTACCTCCACAGCCAAAAAGGTCAGGTAATGCAAAACAGGAAAACAGAGCTTTACACCTAAGAAGAATTTGCCTATGACTCTTGAAACTCCACAAGAAAACAGAACACCTCAAAAGGGGCGAATGACACCTTTGTGCCATTAAAATTATTTAATGGGGTTCAAGTCAATAGAAGCTTTCTATAGACTTGTTTCTCGTTGTCTTCTGCCATGATTGTGAGGTCCCCCAGCCACATGGAACTATAAGTCCATTAAACCTCTTTCTTTTGTAAATTGCCCAGTCTCGATTAGGTCTTTATCAGCAGTGTGAAAATGGACGAATACACCATCTTGGAATTAGTGAACAGCCCTCACCAGACAACAAATGTGCAATAGCCTTTATTTTGAAACTCTAAGCTTCCAAAACTGTGAGAGAATACATTTATGTTCTTTATGAATTTCCCACCTTTTGATATGTTGTTATAGCAGCATAAAATGGAATAAGGGAACACTGCTTTTTATATATATATATATATATATATATATACACACACACACATATATATATATATATATATATACTTTTCAAAGGAGCTGTCACCTCATTATTTCAGCAGATTCTATTATTAGTATACAAAAAATAGGACAGAAAAACAAGGGAACCAAGACAGAGGCAAATGAATGTTATCCAAGCACTCATTATGTGATGATGGTGTCAATGCCGCTAGAGGTAAAGGAAAAAAAAAATGCACCTAAAAGGCAAAAAATATTTGAACATTACTTATTCAAAAACCTCATAACTACAATAAGGTATATAGATTATTTACAAAGGGCCTTTCAATAATATACTACTAATGATGATGAAAAATTAAAGAACAGTATTATAGAATACAGTCAACTGTATTCATTATAGATTTATAATCTCCAAAAATGCATTGCCCTAAGTTTATCTTCCCCTTTGGATGCATTAATCTTGAATTATGCCAATTTTAAAACATGTAATGGGCATTCTAACTTTATTTTATTACATGTTATTTTTGGAAAACTAAAATGCTGTGTTTAAAGATACAGATGTTAAAAATGCTGTTACCTGTAAATATTAATTCCAATCAAGGTTCTTAAGTCAAACCATAGTGAATATATTTTTAAACAAAAATTCTGATAATTAGAAACTTTTAAATTGAAAACAGCTTTTATATTTTCTCAAGCATTGAACATTTCACTCCAAAAGTTAGCTGGGAAAGAGACAATATCAAATTACACAAAGATAACACTGCTTGGTTCAATACCTTCAGGTGTGAAAAATGAATGCTGACATCCCACCTCTAATTTGTGGTTATCACAAGGGTCTAGTTTTAAGAACATTGGCCATACATTGTCTTAAATTTTTGAGACCCTAGGGACTCTTCAGAACTAGTATGCAAGCAGTAGTTGGATTTGAGAATCCTTGTGCAATACTGTTTAGCGAGACATAAAGATTCTTCAGTCAAAATGTTGAAAAATGTCTGTTTCAAGTGAAAGTTAAGGTCATGTACAAAGGCTTAAAATTTTCTGCAAAAGAAATAATTTTCCTTATACAAGGATTATGATTTCTAAGAATCCTATGGTAAAAAACAGGCTTGCAAGAATAATCATAAGGGACTACAAGGAAACAGAAAGTACTAAGAACAGAGACTATACTTTAAGACAATGTTAAGGGTTGGTTTATTTTTGTAAGCTTTCTTTGTTTTACTAGTGCCTTCTTTATAAAGAATATTACATTTACATATTAGAATTCTATCTTTTCGCAATTTCAACACTATAGTTTTATGTAGTATGCCAAAATTAACTACAATAGGATATACATACACATATATACACATACTTGCATACAAAAATAGAAAGTTGCATAGCATATATATGTGGTACATATGCATAGAGATACCTAATATATACATAAAGTATATATTCATGTGTGTTCATGTGTGTACATATACATATATATTATACACAATGCTCTTATTGAAGCATATGTATTCAATAATTCTCAACAATTCCTTTACAAACTTTCATAAAGTCCTGACTTAAAAGGCTCTCAATGTTTATTTTTATATAGAATTAGCAGAAAGTAGTTTCCTTTACAGGATTCTACTTTAACCAACTTTGTTCTGCCTAGGTGGGTTAGATATTAACATGCATAGTCACTCATCTGCATGGATGCAATAATTTATCTCACTGGGGCATAAACCATCTTTAGTATCTACATTTTTTCAAGTTATCTGCAACCTTTCTAACAGTAACCTTAAAGTTTTTTTAGAATCTTATGATAGATTTTAATTATAACCTAGATTGATTGTGGCATAAACAATGGTCTGAGAAAGGTGAATGTATGGAATAAAAATGGACTCTAAAATAAATGGGAAAAATCTGACCTAGTGGGGGTAGATGATCATCTGCAAGAATACCACACATTCATTTTCTGGTGGAAGTCTGAATTAATAAGCCTGTATTACAAATACTGTAAAATACATACTAATATAAATCTCTTGTAATTAGACCAAGGATGGGGGAGTGCAGATTCAGAATTATCACCCCTCAGACACTATGCAACCTTAGGCAAGCCCCTTGGAAACCTTGAGATTGAAGTCCACATAACAAACAAAATAGTTAAAACAGTTGATCTCTGTATAACTGGATATTTTAGTTAACCTTTTCTAAAAATGTTTAATTACATTGGTTATGAAGCCTAATATTTGTTTTTTAGCATTTAAATTTTATTAATATACTTTCTTTCTAAACTTAGTAGTTATCTGGCTTACTATTTTGACAAATTGTTGATCTTCATGTCCTTTTAAACATGCTTGTAATTTTCTCATCCTGTATCATAAAATTCCTTAGTCTTAGAAATTTTATCTAATTTCATGGCTATTTTCAAAGACTTAAAGTATACATTAAGAAAGATTAAAGTTCTGAAACTTTTAAAGATTCCACAATTTGTGACATATGTATTTATCACCATCATCATCATACCAAACGTATGTGTGAAAAGTTATAGTTTGTGTATAGATATGTACATATACATATACATACATATATAGTATGCAGAAATTCTTCTTATGTATTAAGCATGCATTAACTTTTTTAGTCCTCATAACAAACCATTGTGGTAGATAATATTGATATTCATTTTTTAGAGATGAGAACACCAAAGTCCCAAAGGTTGAAATATTTTTTCAAGATGATGCAGCTGTCAAATGGCAGCTATTCATTTTGAGTCTTTATTAATTTGTGGAAACATCATTCTAAGAAGGAAAAGCATCATTATTATCACGAAATTGAAAGCAATGCCATTGACCCACTGTGTCACTACTGGTAAATCACAAGTCTGTCTAGATTTCAGTTTTCTAAGCTATAAAATGCAAAAAAAAACCGAAAAAGCATTAAATCATTGTAAATAATCCCTTAGCTCTTAGGTCAATGATTTTAGATTTTGTTTATTATTTTAAATCCTGGTTAGTAAAACCTACTTACAAAAACTTGTACTAGTTATCTTTTCTCCTTATCTAAGCCTTTAAGGGGTAGTCAAATTAATAAATATGCATTTAGTGCTCTCAATTTACCATAGATTTATATGCTCACATATCAGTTCATTTAATTTTTAACCTTCACTTACTTATTAAATATTCACTCTGATTCAATGTCTTTGCTCTTCACTGCGGTGTATGGAGATGGCACTATCTACTAGGAAATCACAATATATGGAGGCGGCAACAGTAATGAAATAATCACAGCAGTAATTTCACAATTGTAAGTTGATAAATGCTATGAGAACAAAGTTTAGAGTGTTAGGAGAACACTTTAAAGCTGGGGGAATAATTATGGCTATGTATGTGCAGGAATATGTGTATAAGCTGTGCAGTGCTGGTTCTAAGGAAAATCACTATAATACTTAGATATACTATACAATAATATACATTTTATGTATAGAGGCAACGTCTCTCTCATTTAACCACTCCATTTTGATACCAAAGGATTAATATTCAAATGTTTAAAACCATCAGCAGTCAGGATGGGCTGGACTATGCTATGGTAGCAAACAACTCAATATCTTATTGATACATGAGACTAAATATTTATTATTCCTTTACATTAAATGTCCATCAAGGAGCAGGTTGGAATCTGCTTATTGTCACTCAAGAATGCAGGCTCATAAAGGCTCATTCTCAATGTGAGTATTCGTGGTCACCATGACAGATGGAATAAAATGTGTCAAATAATACATCAGATCTTAAAGCATTTACCTAATATAGCAGACACTACTTCCACCCATATTGCATTGATCGAATAAAGTCACTTCTTCAGAACTACCATTAAATTAGGAGAGAAAGTACAATCCTACCATGTAACCCGAAGGAGAATCTGAGTGCTTAATACCTGAGAAGTACCATAAAACACAGCTGATAGGGGAGTTTTGAATAGTGATAAAATAAACCTGAATGAGGGTGTGAATATCTCACTAGTGACATTAGCATGGGTTCTGTTATGAAAAGTGGTTGAATTTTGTTTATAAAAGAATAATACATTCCTATTTTTATTTCTTTGGATATCTAAGTTCCATTATTTAAAATGCCTTTTTATCCACCTGATGAATATTTTATTCATTCTTAAGTCCCAAATCACACATCACTTTCTTTGAGAAGTCTTCCCTGACTCCCTTAAGTTGTAATAATCACTCACTCTCTGTGCAATATCTGTATGCTTTTCCTGCTTTGCATTTATCATGCTTAACTGTCGGTGTTTATTTATGTCTCTGACTCTCTTACTGAATGACAAGTTCTCCTAGTACAGAGACCATGCCTTATTCCTAAGTCCCCAGTATGTGCCATGGTGCATAGAACATAAAACATTTCCAATTTAAGGTAAATTATATATTATATCTTGTGAGCAATGTTTTTAATAGCAAAACATAGGTAATTGTTTGATAAGAAAAATATATTAAAAGCTGGAAAAAGGTTGTGACTCAAAACAGGGAGAAACTTGTTCAGAAAATTGTTACAGATGTATTCCAAAGGATACTATTGCATCAGATGTATTAAATTTATAATCAGAACTACAATATTTTTTATTTTGGGGGAGGTTGTTTTAGAGGTAGGAGCAACTATCAAGATTAAAATGTAGATAGCTAATTTGTATTTTGTTGTATAAGATTTACTGATTGAAAGTATTCACCAGTGGTGTACTTCAAACCCTTTCAAATCCATCATGAGTAAAGCACAACCATTCTTGTCATTACTGCAACAACTCCACTACTCCTAAGAAGAGTACAATTATATGTAATTTTTCTGCATAAAGGCTTTTCTAGGCTCACCTCTTAGATGAATTTTTCATTTCTCTTAATTACTGTTACCTCAAAATTGAAAAATATGACAGTTTAGTCAACCACTGATTGTAATATGTAAATTGGAGTTTTAACTTAATCAGTGTTATATATGCAGAACTGAGAAGAATAAGGATGAACTAACTTACCATAATTGCTCGGTTTCATAAACAATCTTACTGAATAGTAAGTTAATTCAATTTGACGTTCTTGGCCTGGAGGTTAAAGTGGAGGGGAAAAGTAAATTTGCCTGCTCGGAGTTAAGATGGTACATGGATAAATGTTAGACCACAAAGAAATGTGCAATTTATTTAGTTTTTATGTCACCTCCTTTTTTCACTGTAAATAATATGTAGCATGTTTTTCACCCTATTTTAAAAGACTTCTATGTAAAATTAGAACTGGTGTTGGAAAACTTTATTTTTAAAACATTTCAAAGACGAGTAGGTCCATTTGGAGTGCAGTTATGATGATGTAATTTTGAGGTAGATGGCTCTGAAAGAAAGTTATCTTCTCTGGACTTAGTTACATGATATCCTCACTGAAATGAGTATTGCTTTAGAATATTGTTCAGGAAATAGCAATGATCAAAATGCACTCAGGGTAAAACCTTTGAGTTCAAATCTTTCACTTTAGTGTCCTGATAGAAAGAATCAAATAATTCAGTTGGCTTATTTTGAAATGAGCTAATTGCTTTATAAAAGCTCACTTTCATTTTAAGAAAAACCCTTGAATGTTAGCAACACTAAAATAACTATGCCACCCCTGTCGAAGAGTCATGAGTGAAACTGTTAGTAAAAGAGGGGAGAACCTTAGCTATTAGTTTTCATGAAAAACAAAGTATTGGCCAGAAATTAAACTACAGTTTAATGCAGATAAAATTATTTTGTTCAGCCATGTCTGCTAGAAGAATAATAATGGATATAAAATAAAATAAAACTCATCTGCTTCCAATAGGCACCCTTTTATGTCCCTGAGGAAGGCAGATGCATCTGCACCTGTCAAATGCATTAACTTTATCACAAGCTGAGCTTTGGCCCAAACTCCATTTAGTTGCCTGAAATGGTGACTGTATGTGAATCACAGAGACTAATTTGGATCTCCAATCCCTGGCAGAAAATAAAATCAAGTTGAGTGGCTTCTTTGACCCATTTCCTGTAGGTCTTCACCCCATTTTGGACCTCTAGATCTTACAATTTTAAAGACAAAGGAAGATGAAGAAAGAAGCCTCCTCACAAGGAAAAAGAACATTTTTTATCCCTAGGGTTTGGGGCAGAAGATTTAGTAGTTAAAAAAAAAGCGTTCAGAGATAAAATCTATTTATTAAAAATTACCAAATGGGTATAGATTTATTCATTTCTCTGCATGATATCAAACTTCCCTTGGATTAAGATAGGCTACCTGAGAATCAGGTTTTTGAATCACTCCTTTTCATCTAATTATTTTTTAAAAATGTTCTTTGATGTGAGTACCTTAATCTCTGTTGAGGGATATAACAATCTATTTTTATTCTTAACATGTGGTTAAAGTATTGCTCAGAATATATTCTTTATGGGGGCAAAAGCAAATAACACTTGTCTATTTATATCATTTGTGCTTTTCTAGAACATCAGATTTATATTCACCTCATGCACAGTGTGAATTTTGTCTTTGCTATAAAGTTTGGAGGCAAGTTTTTGGCCTCTACATAAAAAACTAGAATTTAAGGATATACTAACCTTATTCCCTAAATCTTTACATTTTTGTTTAAATTTTCTTGTATAATTTAATGTACTTTATGTTGCTGTAATGAATCTTTTAACATAATAGTAAATTATTTCTGAACAAAAGATGTATTTGTGTGTATAAAATATTTTATGCAATTAAGAATCATGATATTTTCAATTTCATATTCTTAAACTAATATTTTAGTTTTTGTGACTGCATAGAAATTACTTTTGACTAAATCTTAGTAACTGTATAATTTATAAATTAACCCATTTCTTTTTGATTGACAGACAAGAACTTTGTTCCTACACAAACGATTTGGAAAGAAATATAAATGTGAGAAAGAAATAAAGTTTTATAAAAGAAACCTTAAAAGGAAAATAAATTATAGAAAAAATATAAATGTAAGGTCATTTACTTAATAAAAATGGGAGACTATCTTTAGATAATATATGTCTTGTGCAGTCTATTTTCTTGTCTTGGAGAAATAGAGTGTAATTTTTCATTTCCCAAAACAATAAAATCAGACTTATTGAGGTATAAACTGGATAAAATAACAGTATTTAAAACTGTATTGCTCAATGACTTATGGCAAGTGTATGAAGTCATACAACCATCATAAAAATGAAAATACAAAACAATTCTATTGTCATAATAAAGTCCCCTCATGCCCTTTATTATCACTTCCCTCATCCCAGGCAATAGCCTATGGCCATGACTGATTTGATACTTGACCCTATAGTTAAATCTTTTTCATAATATCATATAAATAGAATAATATCGTACCTAGCTTTTTGTGTCTGGTTTTTCTAACATAATGAAATGCTTTTGAAATTTAACCATGAGTTTGCAGGTAGCAATAATTCTTTCTCTTACAGAGTAGATTATTCTATTTTACTCATCCATATATTCCCATGTATCCATTCAAACTTAAAGTTGATATTATTCCTATATTTGAAATATTATTAATAATGTTACTATGCACATTCACAGTCTTGTCAGTACATGTTTTCCTGTCTCTTAACTGATAACTAGCAATTCAAGTAGTGGGTTATATAGCAAAAAGCATGTTTATTTACATAAGGAAATGAAAAACTGGTTTTCAAAGTAGCATTCACAACAGTTTCAGTTATATTACATTATCACCAATAGTTAGTACTATACATTTTAAACTTGAACCATTGTGTTAAGAATCTGGTAGTATCTCACTATGATTCTAATTTAGGTTACCGTATTGACTATGATTAGAGCATATCTTAATGTGATCATTTGCCGTATTTTTCTGGTGAATGTCTGTTCAAATCTTTTGCCCAGGCATATTAACCATGTATCTTGCCACATTGCTAAACTCACTCACTTATTTAGTGCTAGTAGCTTTTCTTGTTGTTCGTAATTTGGTATGTTCTATGCAGATTTTCATCCTTTCTGCAAATAAAGAGAGTTTTGTTTCTTTTCAATCTGAAGAACTTTTATTTCCTTTATTGTCGTGTTGTATTGGCTAGGGCAATGTTTAATGGAAGTAGTGGGAGCAAATATCCCTCTCTTGTTCCAAGTTGTAGGGCAAAGGCACTCACTTTTTCATAATGAATTAAGATGTTTGCTACATAATTATTAATTATAATTTTTTGGTAGTGAACTGTTACTACTTTAAGTTCTCCTCTGTGTTGAGTTTGCTGAACACTTTTGTCCCTGAATCGATATTGTACTACATCAAAGGCTTTTGCTCCATGCGTTGTGATAATCATGATTTTTACTCTTTAGTCCTAATACATACAGGAAATTAAATTAACTGATTTCAAATGTCTACATACTCTTGCATTCCTAAGACAACATGTTTGGAGATAATATACTATCCTTCCTATATTACTAGATTTGATTAATTAATATCTGGTTAAGCTTTTCTTTAGTTTATATTCACAAATAATATTGGTCGGTAGATTTATTTTACATTATGTCTGTGTCCAGTTATGGTTTCAGGTATTGCTGGCTACATAAATCACATAGGAAATGTTCCCTCATTGTGCATTTCTGAAAGAGTTAATACAGAAATAGTGTTAAATATTTAACAAAATTCATGAATGAAACTAATTGGACCTGGATTTTTCAGGGCTTTTAAAGTTTTGCTTTTGTTTTCTATCTTTTTAGGGGTTAAAGAGATTCAGTTAAACTTAATGTAATAGATATACAGCTCTTCACATTATCTGTTCCTCCTTGAGTGAGTTTTGATAATTTATAACTTTAAAGGAGTGTGGATAATGTAAATATTACTGACATAATAAAGTCATTATATTTCCTTTTAATACTCTTACTGTCTCCATGATCTGTAGCAATCTTCCTTCTTTTTTCCTGACATTAACTTGTTCTTTTCTTTTCTTTTTTTTTACACTAATCTGTCTAGTATTTTACTGGTTATATTGATTTATTCAAAGAACCAATATATTATTTTATTGACTTCCTTTAATCATTTTTGTTTTCTGTGTCATTAATTTTGCCCCTTATGTTTATTATTTCCCTTGTCTCCATTGTACTTAGTTTGCTGTTTTCTTTCTAGTTTTTTTCAGGTGGATGTTTGAGTCATTAATATGAAAATTATCTTATTTTTCTTACGTAAATATTTGATTTAATAAATTTATCTCTAAGCATTAGTTTAGCTGCATCCCACGAATTTTGATGTTTTCATTTTTGTTTAGTTCAAAATACATTTAAATATGTTTTTGCAATTCCTTTTTTGATTGGTGGATTATTTAGAAGTGTTTTAACCGACAAATAGAGCCAATTATCATCATTCATGTTCATCATGTTTTCTAAAGTCACAGTGAACACTGAATTAGTGAATACAGAATCATTACTCCTAGAGGAAATATTTGGAGTGTATGGGGTGTGTGTGTGTCACATATCTCACCTAGATTATAATCTTATACACTAAAAACAATTCATCTTGCTTCTGTATTATTTTTTTAAAAGAGTCAGTCAGGTTGAATCAGGTGCGAAAGCTGGGATTCAAACCTTGTCCAAATGCCCCCAGAGACAGATCTAGCCTTTCTTCAAAGAGCCCAAACCAGAAGACAGAGTATTACCTTATTCAATCTCAGCTAGGAATGTGTGCATCCTAGCAGTGCATGCAAATTTTCAGAGCTCTATGTTAACAGATGCCCGGTCAAATGCTGGCAGTATTGATTTGAGATTTCCAAATAAATTTTAGCAAGAAGGCAAATTTGCAAATACGAAATCTGCAAATAGCGAGGATCAATTTTTGGAGAGTTTACTATTGTGTTTAATTTACTTCCAGGTATTTCAAGTTGTTTCCTTTTTTAATATGTATGTATGTATGTATTTATTTATTTTTGTAAATAAACAAGTTCTTAAGTGGTGATTTGTAAGAGTCTGGTGCACCTGTCATCTGAGCAGTGTACACTGTACTTTTATCCCTCACCCTCCTCCCACCCTTTCCCCCAAGTCCCCAAAGCCCATTGTATCATTCTTATGCCTCTGAGTCCTCATAGCTTAGCTCCC
This sequence comes from Homo sapiens, assembly GCF_000001405.40. Lineage (NCBI taxonomy): Eukaryota > Metazoa > Chordata > Mammalia > Primates > Hominidae > Homo > Homo sapiens. The sequence goes on along the minus strand of NW_015148967.1, from coordinate 216,734 downwards.
ACTTGTGTGTGAGAACATACAATGTTTGGTTTTCCATTCCTGACTTACATCACTTAACAGAATAATATTCTCCAATTCCATCCAGGTTGTGGCAAATGCGATTATTTTGCTCCTTTTTATGGCTGAGTAGTATTCCATGGTGTGTGTGTGTGTGTGTGTGTGTGTGTGTGTGTGTGTATACATACATATATATATATACATATTTTTATTTATCCACTTGTTGATCGATGGGCATTTAGGCTGATTTCATATTTTTGCAATTGGGAATTGTGCTGCTATAAACATGAATGTGCAGAGAAAATACCTTGTAATATTTCCATTTCTTTAAATGAATCAACATTTTTTGTGGTCTGGTACATTATACATCTTCATAAATATTCCCCATGCATTTGAAAAGAAAGTTCAATTTTATCTTGTTTATTGGAGTATTCTATATCAATTAAGGAAGTAGTTTGATAGTGCGTATCTGTTTCTTTTATTATATGTAAAGTTTTCTGGACTGTAGGTGAGTTTTTTCATTTTCTGAGATAGTGGTGTTGAAATATCTGATTCAGTTCTACCAGCTTTTGCTTTATGTACTTAGACTGTCTTTAAGTCCATATAAAATTAGGATGGCTATATCTTCTTGCTTAATTGCTCTCTTTTCTTATTTAAGGTTCCTTTCTATCCCTGAGGTACTTACTTGCTCTAAATTCTGAAGTGTCTAATATTAATACAGCCACTCCAGTTTCCAGGTATTTTTATACTTGATCATACATACATTTTTTTCCATGTATGTCTTATATATAAACATATATGACCAATAATGTATATATAATGTGTTAAATATATATTTAAATATGTGTATATATTTAAAATGTACAATTGGTGATTTTGACATATGTATGAACTCATAAAAACATCACTAAAATCAAGACAATAAGCATCTATCACTCCCAAGAGTTTTCCCACGCTGCTATTTAATCTCCTCTTCCTCCTCTGCACATTCATATTCTCCCATTCCAAGCAACAACTTATCTGCTTTCTGTCACTGTAGATTAGTTAGTATTTTCTAGAATGTTATATAAGTGGATTCATGCACAATATTATCTTTTCTAGCTCTCTTTCACTCTGCAATTATTTTACTATTTATCTATGTGGCTGTCTATATTTAGTGCTACATATCATTCCATTATATAGATATACTGTAATTTGCTTATTTGTTAATTTGTTTCATTATTAATGTTGAAGGCCATTAGGGTTGTTTCAAATTTAGAGCTATTACTAATAAAGCTGCTATGAATATTTATATGCATGTCATTTTGTAGACATACATTTTAGGTTTCTTAGTTAAATCTCAAGGATTGGAATGCCTGGAATCTTATTCCTATCCAGGGTTGAACCTACCCCTGCTATGCCTGTTCCTGGTGATAGACAGAAGGACAGAAAGGCTGACTGACAGATAGGTGTAGATATGGAAACAGCTACAGATATTATTTCCTACTCAAGCTCATTTTCCTAGACATAAATTTTGGCTTTTGGAAACAAAATCTAGGAAGAGTCACAAGTAGTTTCTGCTTTGTATCATATCATCTAAATTCTAGAATTGAGGGAAGAAAAATGCTAATATACTATAATGCAATATGATATGATATAGATAAAAATGAATAATTAATATCTCAAAATATTGCTCCCACTAGATGAAGATACATGAATTAAAACATTCTATTGGATGTCTTATAAGTTGATCTCAATTTTTATAATTAATGAACTTTCAAGAACATTTAAGAAAGTAAATGCATCAAAGTCACAAAAGACATATTTAGTGGAGGCTTTTTATTTCTACAAAACTAAATGTATTCTAATGTTCATAATCAGGTTTTAACATTCAGGGTTTTTGAATTTGAGTTGTATGCTATACATGTGTCTTGTATTAAATGTAAGCATTGAATATAATCAAAAATAATTGTAAAAACCACGTCTTAGAACTTTATTCTTTCAGTTGACTTGAAAATTAATAGATTTAAATAAGCATATTTTAATATTGGGAGAAAGTTTGTTTTTGTGATGTTGTAAAAGACTAATCAGAACAGCAAAAGATTTTTGCATGAAAATTGTGTCAATGATTTTGACAGGTTCTTAACATGTTTCCTTAAATAAATTGTCAAGATAATTTTAAAGGCCAGATTTCTGCTCTTTAAAAGGAGTTTGGTTTCAGTTCTCATAAACCTATGCAAACTGCACATTAATTATTTTTCTTGAACCATCACAAAAACTGAGGTTACAGTGCAATTAAATAACCTGAATTAGAAAATACCTTCAAGAAATAAGACCCTCTTTTTTGCTTATTTCTGGAGTAGATAAGAAATATGGTCATTGCTCAAAACCAAGAATGGACTAGATGAGTGTGGGAAACCCTTAGGTGCTGTAGACATGAGGGCATCACAACTTTCTGCAGACTTTCCCTGTTTAAACCCAATGAGATCACAGAAAAAAGTCTGAACTGTCCAAGAAAGCTCACTCCTGGTGCTGGCTGGGAAAATGGAATGGCATTCACTCCTGAAACTACCTAGATCACACCTCCTCTATCTTCCATTCAGTATAAAATATTTAAGCAGCCAAGAGAAAGCAAAATAAAAATTGCCTCCTTAAGGCACCGTTGGAAAGCCATTGCAGATGATGGAAGGAAAGAAATTATAACAATTATAAATGATATATTTTAAAAATAGAAGGGAAGTAAACACTTCTCACCTCATCATATAAAGATGATATTGCTTTAATTTAAAAAAAGTAATTAAACGAAGGAAACTAGAGGTCAATATACCTTGTTAAAGTAGATGAAAAGCTCCTCAACAAAACATTAGCATATTATATTCAGCAATATATATAAGAGGTAATAGCTCACCACTAAGTTTGGTTCATCCTAGGAATGCACAAAGTGCTTCAAAAATAAAACAAATAAACAAACAAAAAACAATGTAAATCACCAGATTAATATACTAAAGGAAAAATACAATATGATTTTCTCAATTGACAAAGAAAGAGCATTTGACAAAATTCAACATCAATTCATGATAAATATTCTTAGCAAATAATGAATAGAAGATTATCACTGTATTACTCCACTTTTGTACTGCTATACAGATAGTACCCAACACTGGTTAATTTATTAAACCTCTTTTGTTTAATAGAAGTTTAATCAACTGACAGTTTTGCCTGCCTGGAGAGGCCTCGGAAAACTTACAATCATGGCAGAAGGTGAAGGGGAAGCAAAGCACATGTTACATGGCAGCAGGAAAGAGAGAGACAGAGTAAGCAAGGGGGAAGTGCCACACTTTTAAATGATCAGATCTCTTGAGAATTTACTGTCACAAGAACAGCATAGTGGAAACTGTCTCCATAATCTAACCACCTCTCACCAGGTCCTTCCCTTGACACAGGAGATTAGAATTTGAGATGAGATTTAGGTGCGGACACAGAGCCAAACTATATTAATGATCCTACCTTAATAAAGTGCCTTCTTGCTCTCTAAGTTCAGGAAGAGACCAAGAATGTCCACTCTCATTATTGCTGATCAACATCACAGTGGAATTTCCAGCCAATGCAATAAAAGAAAAAAAAATAAAATGCATATGAAATTTAAAGGAGAAAAATAAAAAATGAATCTATTTACCCGAGACTTGTTTTTCTGTATAGAAAATCTCAAAGACTTGACAAAGAGTCAATGTGTTTAAATATGTTAAGCAAGAATACAAAGTCAATATTCAAGTCAATAGTACAGCCATGTTGCTATGCAGACATTAATAGTATATTTTAATGTCTAGCTTGTCTGGTATCTCCTATGGCTCCCCTTTTCAAGAGATTTTTAAAAGTTCTTTCTTAATTTTAACTTTCCATAGGAACTTCATTATTAATATTTGTTGTTTTAGATAAAAATGAATAATAGCTTGTTAACAATTGTATTTGGATTGCATCGTGTATAAAAGGACATTAGTAAGGCAAGAGACTTGTGTATTGAGATTGTGTTGATTTTGATATGTTCTTATAGTTCCTTAAATATAGTGTGTTTAATTTTATTAGGGTGGATATATACACATACAAACACATACACATACATACATGTGTGTGTCTGTGTATCAGAAAAGCAGATTAGCTAGGCATCTTTACACCTTAATGTTGTTGTGTAAGTTATCCAGGAACAAAAAATGGCTTTCCATTTGTTCAAATATACTTGCAATCCTTTCAGTAGTTTTCTTTTCTTTCCATAGAGATGTTGCATTAAAAAAAATCAAATCCCCAGCATTTTATATTTTTCTTACTCTTTTAAATTGTTTTTCTCTTCCATTACATCTTGTATCTATTAGATTGGTGCAAAATTAATTGCAGTTTCCCCATTAAAAGTAATTGCAAAAACCGCAGCTACTTTTGCACCCACCTATATTTGTGTATGTGGAAGAAGTAGAACTAGACAGAAGAAACTGCTAAACCGTTACACAGGCCTAAGGAGGCTTCAGCCTACTTGGTACGGAATGCTGCAGCAAGGATTACCTATGATATAACATCAGGGGAGTTTGTTCTCTGCAGCTGATACAGACCCTGAAGCTACTGCGTGCTGAAAGCTAGCTTACAAGTTCCTTCCCCAACGGTGGGGCACGAGTCTGTCTGTGGAAAGAAATTTGTGTAGTGCATCTGTCTGCCATGAGCTGGGAATCATTACTTGAAGCTCAGGGAGATGGCTAAGGGTCTGAGGAGGCGAGAGTTAATAAAGTGGCCTGAGGAATATTTAATGGATAAACATAGGAAAGAGATTTTGAAAAGGAGATTGAGAAGAAGACCAGAAGGTGGAGAAAGTTCTGGTATTATGTCAAAAATCTCACTTTTATAGGATAAGGATTGAAAAATATTGATTTTTATTAACAGATGATTTATCATGTAGGTTTTGACTGTGTGTTTTAATACAAGAATGAATGTTAGTTAGTGTGCAATGTGAGGTAGAGTGAGAAAAAATTCTCAAGGAAATTGGGCATATTAAAATATTAGAGAAATGATCTAGAATAAAAGAATAAATTAAAGATATAGGGAGAGGGGGACTAACTAATAATAATAAATATTCAAACACCCCAGACCATATTTGAAATAATAATAATTTATTTATTTATTTATTTTTGAGATGGAGTCTCTCTCTGTCGCCCAGGCTAGAGTGCAGTGGCGCAATTTCGGCTCACTGCAACCTCCGCCTCCCAGGTTCAGGTGATTCTCTTGCCTCAGCCTCCTGAGTAGCTGGAACTACAGGCGTGTGCCGCTATGCTCAGCTAATTTTTTTATTCTTAGTAGTGATGGGGTTTCACCATACTGGCCAGGCTAGTCTCAAACTCCTGACCTTGTGATCTGCCCACCTCGGCATCCCAAAGTGCTGGATTACAGGCGTGAGCCACCGTGCCCGGCCGGAATAATTATTTTTTTTAGAAGATTAGTGACATTTTATTCATTGTGACTGGATGGTAACAGAAAATGATTGGTGTGTTTGCAGTAAGTTCACGGTGTTTGTGACAGTAGCTTAATGGAGTATATTGTGTGTTAAAAAGTCAGTCATTTAATGAAAGTGAGAAAGAAGGTAGAGAATAAGATTAAAGAACTTGGAGAAGCCTGACTCTTATCTAAAATAGTAAAGATTGAGAGAGAAAGTTAAGAAGAAAATTACCAAGTTTCTGGACTTCATTGAAAGCCCAATTAAGGTCGGAACAGTATATATATAGTAACATCAGTCATGATCTGTGCTGCCGAATACATAGCCAGTAACCACATCTGGCTATTATATTAAAATTTAAATTAATTCTAATTAAATAACATTTACAACTTAGCTCTCTAGATGTAATAGTCATATTTCTAGTGCTCAGTAGTGGCTAGTGGATATTGTATTGGACAGGACAAATATAGAACATTTCCATCAATACAGAAAATCCTGTTGAGTTAAACAAGTGAGATCAAGATCCTAAAGCATTCCTTCAAAGAACTGTAACAGGAGATGAAATGGCTTTACCAGTATGGTCCTAAAGACAAATCACAATCATTGCCATGGCTTCCCAGAGGTGGAAGTTATCTCTTCAAACCAAAGTGGACCAGTGAAGAGGAAAGGCCATAGTAATAGTTTTTTGGGATCTTGAGGTATTTTGCTTATTGACTTTCTAGAGGGCCAAAGAATAATAACATCTGCTTATTATGAGATTTGATAAAGTTAGCCAGAACTATAGCAGAAAAATGCCTGAGAAAGCTTCACCAGAGAGTCCCTCTCCACCATGACAATGCTCCTGTTCATTCCTTTCATCAAACAAGGGAAATTTTGCAAGAGTTTTGGTAGGAAGTCATTAGGCATCCACCTTTAACTCTAGATTCGGCTATGTTTGACTTCTTTATGTTTCCTAATCCAAAAAAAAAAAAAAAAATCTCAAAAGGGCACCCATTTTCCTTCAGTTAATCATGTAAAAAAGACTGCATTGACATGGTTAAATTTTCAGGACCCTCAGTTATTTAGGGATGCACTAAATGGCTGGTATCACTTACAAAAGTGTTTTGAATGTGATGGAGCTTATGTTGAGAAATAAAGTTTATATTTTTAATTTCTATCCGTTTATTGAACTTTTTTCTCAAACTTCTTGAGGTCCACTCATATAACTGATCATTACAAGTCCTTAACACAATGCATGGAACACTTACCCTTGTTTTCATGTATCTGCAGACTGCAGGCCTAGGTAGTTCTTTCCTAACTGCCATATATAATATGGCTTTCACACTTACTCTCTTTCCCAGCAACAATGATTACTGCCTTTACATTGGAACTATGTTACTTATTTTGATTTATTTTATATCTTGTGTCTTATATTATTAGCCCAAAAAACAGAGACCATGCCACTTCACTTTACTGCTATATCCTATATGCTTCACACAGAACTTGGCAAATAGTAGAAACTCAACAAACATTTACTGAATAAATAATGTCAGGAAAATAATAGGCATTCAAGTAACTATACTTTTCACTTTTCTCCATAAGGCAGCATTTGTTCTATGATTAATAAATGAATTAAGAATTATTTTTATTTTCTTTGTGTTACAAGATTGCATTCATAGATTGTCTGACATCTTAAGCCTCTCCACCCACCACACACACACAGACACACATACACATATATGAAAGTAGTTTACTTGAAAAATTAGTCTTGTTTTAATATCATATTATAAAATATGTTTCATATTTTTAATTTTAGACTACTTAAAATTGAAAATTTAAATTATATTTAATTCATTATATATATATGTGTTTTTAAACATCTTATAAATGTGGTTAGGTTACATAGTGTATAATGTTTGGTTTACTTTTTAAATTTTCCTCTTTTGCTCATCTTTCTCCCTTGAACTTTTTGCTTTTTCTCAACTGATATTACTACTCTGACCACTCCTGTTTACTGGTGGAATGTGTTTTCATATCTATGCTTGTGTAATTATAATCAAACATATATGGGATCATACTATACTATTTTGAGTCATGGCTTTTTACTCAATAAGACCTTGCAGATTCAATTGACTGGTATCCCTCCAATGTATTTTTAATATCCATATGAGAGTACATGACATGAATGTACCATCATCTTTGAATTTTTTAAATTATGAACATGCACAGTATTTCTTTATGTTAGCCCAGCATCCAATGCTGCAATACAAATGCTGGAAGCATTCACTTACTTTGATTTCCATGGGATATATCCAGGGGAATGACTTAGGTTCACAAGGTGTTTTTCCAAACAAATTACATCAATTCACATTTCTATTGACTATGACCTCTAAAGTCTTGCCATAAATAGATCTTATAGTTCTTTTGCTCTTTGTGTGATCGATATAAATTAACATGTTATTCTATTTTATTTTGAACATTTGGATTTATTTTGAAATTTGGATTTTCTAAACAAATCCAAATGTTCTTTTCATATCATTTAATCAGTTGTTCAACTATAAATATGGGTAAGTCTAAAAGTTTTCCATGAAAAATATTCATTTTCAAGTCACATTTCTTTAATTTTTTAAAGAATTACGCATGTTCTTTTGGTTACTGGGTACATCTCAAGAAAGGCTGTGGTACTCAAATTTGTCATGTTCCTTAAGGAGCAGCCTGAGTCCACATTTGGCCTATGTGCCAGAAAAGCTGGTGGATTTCATGCTCTTTCAAACTTATTTTATTCTATATTTCTGAAGACAAAATTAAAGTTATTTTACATGAAAATTAAACTGCTGTATATTATTTTATGTTATAAAACACACTGTATTGTGTCTAAAAATTGAGTCTTTTGAACTTGAAAATGAATTAAGGCAAAATAATACATTCCTTACCCCTTATATAAAATAACATAAATCTTTCCAAGATTAATAGAAGTCAATATGGAAAAAAATCTCAAAAAGACAACATAAGTTTTCTACTGATTTTATTTCTACTACTCTTGACAGAAGTATATCTGTTCCAAAAATTGAACTTTTAATATTAGTGAATATACACATATGTTGTAGGGAAAAAAATTACATGAATGCTTGCTTTGCTTAGGAAAACACATGTTCTGGAAAGTCTTTTATTTTTATTTATTTTTATTATACTTTAAGTTTTAGGGTACATGTGCACAACGTGCAGGTTAGTTACATATGTATACATGTGCCATGTTGGTGTGATGCACCCATTAACTCGTCATTTAACATTAGGTATATCTCCTAATGCTATCCCTCCCTCCTCCCCCCACCCCACAACAGATCCCGGAGTGTGCTATTCCCCTTCCGGTGTCCACGAGTTCTTATTGTTAAATTCCCACAAATGAGTGAGAACATGCGGTGTTTGGTTTTTTGACTTTGCAATAGTTTGCTGAGAATGATGGTTTCCATCTTCATCCATGTCCCTACAAAGGACATGAACTCATCCTTTTTTATGGCTGCAGAGTATTCCATGGTATATATGTGCCACATTTCTTAATCCAGTCTATCATTGTTGGACATTTGGCTTGGTTCCAAGTTTTTGCTATTGTAAAGAGTGCCACAATAAACGTGTGCATGTGCCTTTATAGCAGCATGATTTATAATCCTTTGGCTATATACCCAGTAATGGGATGGCTGGGTCCAATGGTATTTCTAGTTCTAGATCCCTGAGGAATCGCCACACTGACTTCCACAATTTTGAAATAGTTTACAGTCCCACCAACAGTGTAAAGGTGCTCCTATTTTTCCACATCCTCTCCAGCACCTGTTCTTTCCTGACTTTTTAATGATAGCCATTCTAACTGGTGTGAGATGGTATCTCATTGTGGTTTTGATTTGCATTTCTCTGATGGCCAGTGATGATGAGCATTTTTACATGTGTCTTTTGGCTGCATAAATGTCTTCTTTTGAGAAGTGTCTGTTCATATCCTTCGCCCACTTCTTGATGGGGTTGTTTGTTTTTTTCTTGTAAATTTGTTTGAATTCATTGTAGATTCTGGATATTAGCCCTTTGTCAGATGAGTAGATCGCAAAAATTTTCTTCCATTCTGTAGGTTGCCTGTTCACTCTGATGGTAGTTCCTTTTGCTGTGCAGAAGCTCTTTAGTTTAATCAGATCCCATTTGTCAATTTTGGCTTGTGTTGCCATTGCTTTTGGTGTTTTAGACATGAAGTCCTTCCCATGCCTATGTCCTCAATGGTATTGCCTAGGTTTTCTTCTACGGTTTTTATGGCTTTAGGTTTAACATTTAAGTCTTTAATCCATCTTGAATTAATTTTTGTATAAGGTGTAAGGAAGGGGTCCAGTTTCAGCTTTCTACATATGGCTAGCCAGTTTTCCCAGCACCATTTATTAAATAGGGAATCCTTTCCCCATTGCTTGTTTTTGTCAGGTTTGTCAAAGATCAGATGGTTGTAGATGTGTGGTGTTATTTCTGAGGGCTCTGTTCTGTTCCGTTGGTCTATATCTGTGTTTTGGTACCAGTACCATGCTGTTGTGGTTACTGTAGGCTTGTAGTTTGAAGTCAGGTAGCGTGATGCCTCCAGCTTTGTTCTTTTGGCTTTTTTTTGGTTCCATATGAACTTTAAAGTAGTTTTTTCCAATTCTGTGAAGAGAGTCATTGGTAGCTTGATGGGGATGGCATTGAATCTATAAATTACCTTGGTCAGTATGGCCATTTTCATGATATTGATTCTTCCTACCCATAAGCATGGAGTGTTCTACCATTTGTTTGTATCCTCTTTTATTTCATTGAGCAGTGGTTTGTAGTTCTCTTGAAGAGGTCCTTCATGTCTCTTGTAAGTTGGATTCCTAGGTATTTTATTCTCTTTGAAGCAATTGTGAATGGGAGTTCACTCGTGATTTGGCTCTCTGTTGGTCTGTTATTGGTGTATAAGAATGCTTGTGATTTTTGTACATTGATTTTGTATCCTGAGACTTTGCTGAAGTTGCCTATCAGCTTAAGGAGATTTTGGGCTGAGACGATGGAGTTTTCTAGATATACAATCATGTCATCTGCAAACAGGGATAATTTGACTTCCTCTTTTCCTTATTGAATACCCTGTATTTCCTTCTCCTGCCTAATTGCCCTGGCCAGAACTTCCAACACTATGTTGAATAGGAGTGGTGAGAGAGGGCATCCCTGTCTTGTGCCAGTTTTCAAAGGGAATGCTTCCAGTTTTTGCCCATTCAGTATGATATTGACTGTGGGTTTGTCATAGATAGTTCTTATTATTTTGAGATACGTCCAATCAATACCTAATTTATTGAGAGTTCTTAGCGTGAAGGGTTGTTGAATTTTGTCAAAGGCCTTTTCTGCATCTATTGAGATAATCATGTGGTTATTGTCATTGGTTCTGTTTATATACTGGATTACGTTTATTGATTTGTGTATGTTGAACCAGCCTTGCATCCCAGGGATGAAGCCCACTTGATCATGGTGGATAAGCTTTTTGATGTGCTGCTGGATTCAGTTCGCCAATATTTTATTGAGGATTTTTGCATCGATGTTCATCAGGGATATTGGTCTAAAATTCTCTTTATTTGTTGTGTCTTTGCCAGGCTTTGGTATCAGGATGATGCTGGCCTCATAAAATGAGTTAGGGAAGATTCCCTCTTTTTCTATTGATTGGAACAGTTTCAGAAGGAATGGTACCAGCTCCTCCTTGTACCTCTGGTAGAATTCGGCTCTGAATCCATTTGATCCTCGACTTTTTTTGTTCATAAGCTATTAATTATTTCCTCAATTTCATAGCCTGTTATTGGTCTATTCAGAGATTCAGCTTCTTCCTGGTTTAGTCTTGGGAGGGTGTATGTGTTGAGGAATTTATCCATTTCTTCTAGATTTTCTAGTTTATTTTCATACAGGTGTTTATAGTATTCTCTGATGGTAGTTTGTATTTCTGTGGGATCGGTAGTGATATCCCCTTTATCATTTTTTTGTTGCGTCTGTTTGATTCTTCTCTCTTTTCTTCTTTATTAGTCTTGCTAGAGGTCTATCAATTTTGTTGATCTTTTCAAAAAACCAACTCCTAGATTCATTGATTTTTTGAAGGGTTTTTTGTGTCTCTATCTCCTTCAGTTCTGCTCTGATCTTAGTTATTTCTTGCCTTCTGCTAGCTTTTGAATGTGTTTGCTCTTGCTTTTCTAGTTCTTTTAATTGTGATGTTAGGGTGTCAATTTTAGATATTTCCTGCTTTCTCTTGTGGGCATTTAGTGCTATAAATTTCCCTCTACACACTGCTTTGAATGTGTCCCAGAAATTCTGGTATGTTGTGTCTTTGTTCTCGTTGGTTTCAAAGAACACCTTTATTTCTGCCTTCATTTTGTTGTGTACCCAGTAGTCATTCAGAAGCAGGTTGTTCAGTTTCCATGTAGTTGAGCAGTTTTGAGTGAGTTTCTTAATCCTGAGTTCTAGTTTGATTGCACTGTGGTCTGAGAGACAGTTTGTTATAATTTCTTTTCTTTGACATTTGCTGAGGAGTGCTTTACTTCCAACTATGTGGTCAATTTTGGAATAAGTGTGGTGTGGTGCTGAAAAGAATGTATATTCTGTTGGTTTGGGGTGGAAAGTTCTGTAGATTTCTATTAGGTCCACTTGGTGCAGAGCTGAGTTCAATTCCTGGATATCCTGGTTAACTTTCTGTCTCGTTGATCTGTCTAATGTTGACAGTGGGGTATTAAAGTCTCCCATTATTATTGTGTGGGAGTCTAAGTCTCTTTGTAGGTCTCTAAGGAGTTGCTTTATGAGTCTGGGTGCTCCTGTATTGGGTGCATATATATTTAGGATAGTTAGCTCTTCTTGTTGAATTGATGCCTTTACCATTATGTAACGGCCTTCTTTGTCTCTTTTGATGTTTGTTGGTTTAAAGTCTGTTTTATCAGAGAGTAGGATTGAAACCCCTGCCTTTTTTTGTTTTCCATTTGCTTGATAGATCTTCCTCCACCCCTTTATTTTGAGCCTATGTGTGTCTCTGCACGTGAGATGGGTTTCCTGAATACAGCACACTGATGGGTTTTGACTCTTTATCCAATTTGCCAGTCTGTGTCTTTTAATTGGAGCATTTAGCCCAGTTACATTTAAGGTTAATATTGTTAAGTGTGAATTTGATCCTGTCATTATGATGTTAGCTGGTTATTTTGCTCGTTAGTTGATGCAGTTTCTTCCTAGCCTCTATGGTCTTTATAATTTGGCATGTTTTTGCAGTCACTGGGACCAGTTGTTCTTTTCCATGTTTAGTGCTTCCTTCAGGAGCGTAGGGCAGGCCTGGTGGTGACAAAATCTCTCAGCGTTTGCTTGTGTGTAAAGGATTTTATTCCTCCTTCACTTACTTATGAAGGTTAGTTTGACTGGATATGAAATTCTGGGTTGAAAATTCTTTTCTTTAAGAATGTTGAATATTGGCCCCCACTCTTTTCTGGCTTGCAGAGTTTCTGCCTAGAGTTCAGCTATTAGTCCGATGGGCTTCTCTTTGTGGGTAACCCGACCTTTCTCTCTGGCTGCGCTTAACATTTTTTCCTTCATTTCAACTTTGGTGAATCTGACAATTATGTGTCTTGGAGTTGCTCTTCTCAACGAGTATTTTTGTGGCGTTCTCTGTATTTCCTGAATATGAATGTTGGCCTGCCTTGCTAGATTGGGGAAGTTCTCCTGGATAATATCCTCCAGAGTGTTTTCCAACTTGGTTCCATTCTACCCGTCACTTTCAGGTACACCTATCAGACATAGATTTGGTCTTTTCACATAGTCCCATATTTCTTGGAGGCTTTGTTCGTTTCTTTTTATTCTTTTTTCTCTAAACTTCTCTTCTCGCTTCATTTCATTCATTTCATCTTCCATCACTGATACCCTTTCTTCCATTTGATCAAATCGGCTACTGAGGCTTGTGCATTCGTCACGTAGTTCTCGTGCCTTGGTTTTCAGCTCTATCAGGTCCTTTAAGGACTTCTCTGCATTGGTTATTCTAGTTAGCCATTTGTCTGTTTTTTTTTTTTTTTTTCAAGGTTTTTAACTTCTTTGCCATGGGTTCGAACTTCCTCCTTTAGCTCGGAGTACTTTGATCGTCTGAAGCCTTCTTCTCTCAACTCATCAAAGTCATTCTCCATCCAGCTTTGTTCCATTGCTGGTGAGGAGCTGCATTCCTTTTGGGGAGGAGAGGTGCTCTGATTTTTAGAGTTTCCAGTTTTTCTGCTCTGGTTTTTCCCCATCTTTGTGGTTTTATCTACCTTTGGTCTTTGATGATGGTGACATACAGATGGGGTGTTGGTGTGGATGTCCTTTCTGTTTGTTAGTCTTCTTTCTAACAGTCAGGACCCTCAGCTGCAGGTCTGTTGGAGTTTGCTGGAGGTCCACTCCAGACTCTTGTTTGCCTGGGTATCAGCAGCAGAGGCTGCAGAACAGCGGATATTGGTGAACAGCAAATGTTGCTGCCTGATTGTTCCTCTAGAAGTTTTGTCTCAGAGGAGTACCCGGCCATGTGAGGTGTCAGTCTGCCCCTACTTGGGGGTGCCTCCCAGTTAGGCTACTCGGGGGTCAGAGACCCACTTGAGGAGGCAGTCTGTCTGTTCTCAGATCTCTAGCTGCGTGCTGGGGAACCACTACTCTCTTCAAGGCTGTCAGACAGGGACAATTAAGTCTGCAGAGGATTCTGCTCCCTTTTGTTTGCCTGTGCCCTGCCCCCATAGGTGGAGTCTACAGAGGCAGGCAGGTTTCTTGAGCTGCGTTGGGCTCCACCCAGTTTGAGCTTCCCAGCGGCTTTGTTTACCTCCTCAAGCCTTGGCAATGGCAGGCGCCCCACCCCCAGCCTCACTGCCGCCTTGCAGTTTGATCTCAGACTGCTGTGCTAGCAATGAGCGAGGCTCCATGGCCATGGGACCCTCCGAGCCAGGCATGGGATATAATCTCCTGGTTTGCCCTTTGCTAAGACCATTGGAAAAGCACAGTATTAGGGTGGGAGTGACCCGATTTTCCAGGTGCCATCTGTCACCCCTTTCTTTGACTAGGAAAGGGAATTCCCTGACCCCTTGCACTTCCTGGGTGAGGCAATGCCTCTCCCTGCTTCGGCTGGTGCTCAGTGCGCTGCACCCACTGTCCTGCACCCACTTTCCAACACTCCCCAGTGAGATGAACCCAGTACCTCAGTTAGAAATGCAGAAATCGCCCGTATTCTGCATTGCTCACACTGGGAGCTGTAGACTGGAGCTGTTCCTATTCGGCCATCTTGGCTCCACCCTGGAAAGTCTTTTAAACAAAAGTCTATCAGTATGTCTCATTTACAAATGCAAAATTGTGTAGTCATGTTGCTATGTTTGAGTATTCATTTATTTCCTACATTAAATGCTTTTATCTTTTGACTAAATTTTCAGAAACTATAACTAGCACAAACAACAACTCTAAAACATCATAGCCAAGAAGTATTCATTGTTTAATGAGTTCTTGCACTTTATCTTACTTTAAAATATAAGATACATACAAAATGTAAATGGTCCCATAATGCTCCTTCATATCACATCTTGTAAAACCAGTTTTTTAATTTATTGCACATTGGATGAAGAACAACTGGAAAACCTCTGCTTAATTTACAATGTCTTGTATAACTTATAAATTTTGCAAAACTTTCAGCCACTTTACTCGTGTTGACCATAGCTATAGTTGAGTTTTTAATTGTATTTAGAAAATGACCCAATGTAATCACATAACATGTTTGAAAGTCTATGTTTTATCTACCTCTCTTCCCAGGGGTTGCTAATTGGTGAGCAAATTCACCAGAAGTTGTGATGAACCCACATCAGCCAGTAGGGCATTGCAAATAATTCCATGGTGATGGAAGTGGATACAATGTTAGAGATAAAAATAAGGGTGATAGAAAGACAAAGGTCAATTAGTTTCAGTTTGGACCTCTCTAAATTCAATTTCTCGCAACTATAATATGATGTGGTGCCTAAAGCTATCATGAAGGCCACACAAAACTCTAGGATGTTTCCTGCAGCTTAAAGCTTTATGTTATGCATTATCTTTTGTGGCAGAATTTGCTAATCACTGTTTTTGAGTAATGAATGTGAGATAATTATGATAGCTTGAGAAGTGTAGTAAGTGTAACTACAGAAATTTTACAAAACTTACGGTGTTTTCTTAAAAATAAAGACTGGTAAACCATTTTATTGCCAAGTGTGGTAAATTTGGTCCAATAACAATTTGTCCAGTTTTAAGGATGAAAGGAATAAGGTATGACCCATGGCCTCAGTAAAAAAAAAAAAAAAAGTGTGAAAAGGCCATAAAAAAGACAAACATGCACACGTATGTTTATTGCAGCATTATTCACAATAGCAAAGACTTGGAACCAACCCAAATATCCATCAATGATAGACTGGATTAAGAAAATGTGGCACATATACACCATGGAATACTATGCAGCCATAAAAAAGGATGAGTTCATGTCCTTTGTAGGGACATGGATGAAGCTGGAAACCATCATTCTCAGCAAACTATCGCAAGGACAAAAAACCAAACACTGCATGTTCTCACTCATAAGTGGGAATTGAACAATGAGAATACTTGGACACAGGAAGGGGAGCATCACACACTGGGGCCTGTCATGGGGTGGGGGAAGGGGAGAGGGATAGCATTAGGAGATATACCTAATGTACATGACGAGTTAATGGGTGCAGCACACCAACATGGCACTTGTATACATATGTAACAAACCTGCACGTTGTGCACATGTACCCTAGAACTTAAAGTATAATAATAATAAAAAAAATAAAGTGGGTCTCCTGTAAACAACAACAACAAAAGACAAACCCATCCAAAGCGAAGAAGTGATGTTAAAAAGCAATCAATGCAGCCTTTTTATTTCACAATGTGTAAAATGTAAATAAAAATGACAAAATGTAAAACCAGTACCTGTATTTCAAAATACACATTTAGCTATATTTTCTATAATTCTAAAAATCTACATTAATTTTTTTCTTCTTATTGTGTGTTCTTCTCCTTACTAAATAACTATACTGTGTTTCAGGCATGGGGTCTTACCTAAATAGTTATGGCAGTAGCCCAAATTCGGGCCATTTTTCCAGACTCCTCATCCTTCTCATTCATCTATTCTTTTCATAAATTACACTGCCTTAATTTTTATATTCCAAAAAAATTGTTGATGTGAGTAATCAGTAGTTCTCATTGTATGTCCATGAGTAAATGTACTACATATATAATCCTTCATTGAGACATCTCTTCAAAACAAAACCTTATCCAAAAGTCAGGATTCAGCATCTATAACAGGAAATAATCCTTAAAATAGGTATACCTTTCAAACCCTTTTCATGTCACATTTTGCTTTTCTGGCAAGTTTTAAACAAAGAAATTGGAAATATAATGATTTAGAGACTCAAGCTTTGCCACATATATTGGTGGATTGTGGGGCAATTTCTATGTTTATTTATCTGATTCACAGTTCTTATTCTAGATATCTAATATACAAACTCGTAATGATCACATACAACATATTTTCTGTGAGGGTGAATTATGAAAGACGTAAAATAATGCATTTTGGGTGCTAAAGTGCTACATCAGACACCTTAATTTGCTGCAAATAAGACCAAATTAGAGTTTAAAATGAGAACATTGCTACCTGGTGCTTCTGGTAGCAATGCAGCATCCTAACAGCATGTAAGCCATCAGAAGATTTAGAGCTCAACTCAATCAGTGGCAACAAAATTAGAAATAAATAGAGAAGGATCAATATAAAGTGTTGTCTGGAATAATGAAACAACCGTGGGCTGGAAAAATCTATTTTATTTTTCTTCTCTTAGTTAGGTGATCAGGAAATATCTGACTTAGCCCAGCAGAAACTGTTTACTTTGTTTATAAAGAGAAGGAAGAATCATTGTAAAATACTATATATTATATGTAAATATAAACAGAAACGTATGTTATATATATGTACCTATCTTTTTTAAATCAATTGACAGAACAATAGGACACTTAAGTAACACAGGTTTGTCATTAAAATTATATTCAAATTAATTAAAATTGGTAAACCAGTTTTAAATAAATTTACAATTTGACATGTTATTGCCTAACCTCATTATTTTTCCTTGAATGTATTCCTTCAGGTTTAGGAGGTCATGATATTATTTTTGCAAACCTACCTAGATAAGGAACTTCTAATGCATTTTAGTGTCCATATATGTGATATATCATGGAAAGAGAACAGTAACAATCAGGATTGCTCATCGTACTCGGAAGTTTTGAGTACAAGATCTGACCTGTGAGCTGGGGAGCTTTGAGCTGCCTTATTAATGTGATCAGGATATGACAGTAATGTGACTTGTTAAAATCTTCGCTACAGCTTCATCCTGATGGTTCAGCATTGATGGTTAGTGGAAGAACCAGCATTTTTATGGTATTATTACAGGGCTGGAGTTTAATCCTTGTGGTTGCAACTATGTGGCGGAGCAATCCAATGACAGACTTTACCACTCTAGCCTTTGTGTTTGGTGAAGCATCAGTCTTTCCCTTTAATGACAGAGCTAGAGGTAGAGTCTTAGTATCCAAGCACTGCAACTGAGGAAGTTGAATTTTCTAAACCTAACCTAAGCCAGTTTCTGTAACATTTTGAGAAAGAGAAAATACTTTTCATATATACATATATATAAAATGTGTATATATATATGTATATATAATATATACATGTGTATATATATATATAAATGAAAGGTCATATTATGTATATATATTGTGTGTGTGTGTATATATATATATATATAAAAAACAGGTCACTTGGCAGATGATCAGTCTTAGGCTATTACCTCTTACACTTCAATATCTTTGTTTGAAAATGACTTATAATACATTTGAGTATTGAATGTTCAGTAAACTGTGAGCTTACTTGAAATTTTACCTATAAATTTGATCTATGGATAGAGAGACTTTTCTCTTGAAAATTTTTTTTTTCAAGCTTGGGGTTACAGTGTATCTACCAAATCAAACATAACATTTAAATTCTATTGAGCACGGCCGGGCGCCATGGCTCACTCCTGTAATCCTAACACTTTGGGAGGCCGAGGCGGGTGGATCATGAGGTCAGGAGTTCAAGACCAGCCTGACCAATATGGTGAAACCCCATCTCTACTACAAATACAAAAATTAGCTGGGAGTGGTGGCAGGTGCCTGTAACCTCAGCTACTCGGGAGGCTGAGGCCGGAGAATTTCTTGAACCTGGGCGGCAGAGGTTGCAGTGAGCCGAGATCACGCCACTGCACTCAAGCCTGGGTGACAGAGTGAGACTCTGTCTTAAAAATAAATAAGTAAATAAATAAATAAATAAATAAATTCTATTGAGCACAAAAAAACTATTAAGTGGAAATTTAAACACACGCACACACACACACACACACACACACACACACCAGAAAAATCTTTACAAGTAAAGGAAGGGTACCATCACCAATTAATATACATTTCCTTTAACAGATTTATAAAGCAAGAGGTTATCTTCTCACTGGAAGTGATCCTTTAGAAAAACATTAGTTGTTTTGGTGCTCCATTTTTTTTAAATTCACATAAATCTATAATGACAACGTTTTTATTAATCATCCAATAAGTACATTGTTTGTACATGTAATATATAAATATGTACAACTATTATGTATCTATAAAAATTAAAATTAAGTGTAATGCACATCAACACACACCCACAGGAGCACAACCAAAATACTCCCAAAAGTCATTCTATAGGTTCAAAATATTTGAGTATAATATTATCATATGTATAGGGAGATATTTAGAATTATTTTTCAATTTTTAAAAATGTTTGATTTTGTACTCTTTATATATATAAGTGATAAGATAAAAGAAATAGAATTCATTTTCTTAATCTTTAGCACACTATACAGAAAATTTTATAATACTTCACCTGTTGTTTCACTGCATTCTTACTGAAATTATATTAAAAATGTAAAACCTCAGATATTTTCATTTAAATATTATTACATTTAGAGTGATTGTACTGGAATGTCAACGATTCTAATGCCAGTTTGGGTTGGCATTCATTTAAAGTACGTGGTTTTATAAAACTGTTGTCATAGAAAAAAATTAACATAAAACATTTTAATGCTACAGTCTCATCTATCAATAGTTCCAGTTTATGCATGCAAATTCAAATGAGCTTATATTTTCTTTAATCTACTAAAGCCAGATGTGTAATAAGTCATTTCAGAAAATAAACAATGTGCTACCTTTGTAGCTAGAAGTAATGTAATCAACAAGGTTGAATTAATGCTTTTTGTAGGCTGCTATGTCTATCATAAAAGAAGAATGCAGACATAATTACCACCTTAGACCTTTGTAAAGGTGAAGAAATGTTGCTGCTGTACCTCGAAGGTGGGTGATAATGAGAAACAGCTGATTCATTTTCTGTGCCTTTGAGGTGGTCACCTGAGATATCACCTCTTTCTCAGGTATTCAGAATTAGGTCACAGTCTGTTATCAGATTTCTTAAACACTATTTGCAGAAAATTCATTTCAAGAAATAAAACCTAACACTACTCAAAAATTATTGTATGGATATTCTGAAAACATGTAAAATGAAATTCAAAACTAGATTTTTTTCTTAGCCAAAATATTATACTTCAGTTGTATCTTTAAATCCTTACTTAGTTGGTTGGATTCTAGGTATTGGGAGAGGTCAAGCACTAACAAAATTAAAGTGAAGGGAAAAGGATAGTTTCTTGCTGGTATCTATATTTTTCTTTTTCTTTTTTTTTATTATTGTTTTTGCCTCCTTCTTTTGTACAAGGAGGAATAGATGTGTGTTCTATCCTAATTGAAGATGTGAGGGTGAATTTAACAACAGTAATGTGACTCAATTTTTTCCTTTTAAAGTACACATTTTTTCCACCATAGATTAATTCTGCCTGTTTTGAATCGTATGTAAATAAAATCATACTGCATGTACAGACGTACTCAGTTTCTGTTTTCTTTCAGATATCTGTGATATTTATTCATTTTGTCACACTTAGCAGTAGCTCAATCTTTTTTGTTGCTGTGTAGTACCCTTTTGTGATTTATCGTAATTTATTTAATGTTTACTGCTGATAAATACTTGTTTTTTTTTAAGAATTGACAAATGAGACCTAATAAAACTAAAAAGCTTTGGAGAGCAAAATAAACTGTCAAAGGAGTAAATATACAACCTACTAAATGGGAGAAAAATTTTTGAGAACATCTGACAAAGGACTAATATCCAAAATCTATAAGGAGCTTAAACAAATTAACACACACAGAAGAAACAAACAGCCCCATTAAAAAGTGGGCAAACAACACGAGCAAACCCTTTTAAAAAGAAGACATAGATGCGGCCAATAAGCATATGAAAAAATACTCAACATCACTAATCATCAGAGAAATGCAAACCAAAACAATAATGAGATATCATCTCACATGAGTTAGAATGGTTATTATTAAAAAGTCAAAAAGTTACAGATGCTGGACAGGTTGCAGAGAAAAGGGAACATTTATACACTGATGGTGGGAATGTAAATTAGTTCAGCCATTGTGGAAAAAAGTTTGGCAATTTCTCAAAGAACTTAAATAATTACTATTCAACCCAGCAATCCCATTATTGGATATATACTTAAAAGAATACAAGTCATTCTACCATAAAGACACATGCAAATGTATGTTCATTGCCGCACTAGTCACAATAGCAAAGATATTGAATCAACCTAAAACTTATCAACTGTAGACTGGATAAAGAAAATGGGGTACATATGAAATACTATGAAGCCATAAAGCAACAAGGTAATGTTCTTTGCAGGAACATTAATGGAGCTGGAGGACATTATCCTTAGTGAACTAATGAAAGAACCAAAAACCAAATACTGCATCTTCTCACTTATAAGTGGGAGCTAAACATCGAGTATACATGGACACAAATAAGGGAATAACAGACTCTGGGGCTTCCTTGAGGTGGAGGATGGTAGGAGAGCTAGATAAAAAAACAAACAAACAACCTATTGGGTAGTATTCTTATGACTTGAGTGAAAAATAATCTGTACACCAAACTGCTGTGACATGCAATTCATCTATATAACAAACATGCATTTGTATCCCTGAACCTAAAATAAAAGTTAAAAATAAAATAAAATACTTATTTTTTTTCTAGTTTATGCAATTATAAATAAAGCTGCAATTTATGTTTGGGGGCAGGACTTGTGGTGGATATATTCATTCATTTCTCTTGGGTATATACCTTGAAATGAAGTTACTCTGTTTAGCTTTAGTAGATACCACCAGACAATCTTCCAAGACTTATTTTTCATCATGACTTATTCCAGGAATAAATTTTCTCTTATTCTATTTAAGTAAATGTCTTCAATTTCATTAATTATATCTTCTGTTGTTTCCGGAATGCTGATAATTTTAATGAATTCTTAATTATAGGTATTGTATTATTTTCAATTCTTTACAATTATTTTAATACTTTTTCTATAGATTGAATATCTCTATTGAAAATCTTCACATTTTGAAATTTTATCCTTTTCTCCTATTTTCTTGACTGTATTCTCAGAATTTTAAAGTAACTTTGGCAACTCTTATGGGAATCATCTGTAGGTCTGTTTTCATAGTCTGTTTTTATTCCTTTTTGATCATCTGGTCATATTTTATTTCAAGTTTCTGAATTTTCAGTAGAACCTATATTATTGTGGATGAAAACATTTTAGAAGGGCTAGGTGATATAACTTTTTATATATGATTTATTTTTCTCTTGGCAGGTAGATAGAGTACCAGTGGATCTCTTTGATACTATATTGGGTTGGTTTTAGATTATCACTGGATGATGAAATCAAAATTGATGTCTAAAATTTTTTAAAAATTGAAACTATCTCTTACTATATTAAGGGAAAATTGTTTCTATTGGACATATAATTTCCAAGTAGAGCTGAGAACTCATCTTCCATAGGGACTTTGATGAGGACAGAATTCATGTATTGGAAGACTTTCAGAAGCATGAGTGAGCTGACATCAACCACACAGGTTGTTATTTGAAAATAGGCTGTTTATCAGTTATCAAGCATATAGATGCATATTTATTGGAATCATGTTTATGATTAGCTGACTACCATAAATGAGAGATTTACATTGATTTATTGGCTTGTAAAAATGTGTTCACTGAGTTGCCGCTGATCAATGAAACTCAGATTTTGATGGCTATTTACAACCATGGCTACAGAATAATCAGTTTTTGCTTAAATTTGTGGGAAATATTTTCATTCTCAAGGGTTGGCTGGGTCTGGTTTATTTTAGTTTTGCTTTCACTTACATGGTATAGCTGTAACTTCTGTGGTGTGCCTCTTACTTTTTAGAAATGATCCTGCATTCTACAAATCTGTTTAAACTATGTCAAGCTCCAACATCTGTTTCCTCAAGCCAGTAATACTACTGCTTTCAGCTTGTACTCTATTTCTATAAAAAATTAAGAAAAAAATCCTCAGAGGAAACATAAGATGAATATATAGCTTATCTTATATGCTTAATGTTTCTCAGTGATTGTCTATGCTCATATCCTTCCTCTATTGGTTATTCTTCAAAATTTCATATATATATTGTCTCACATTTACAGTTATTTGCAGCAAAAAAGTCAGTCCAAAATAAGCTAATCTATCTTTGCTGAAACTGAAAGTCTTAGAAAAGAAAATTAATTTTAAAAATTAACTCAAGGGAGTCAGAGCAAGATGGCAGAATAGAAGCCTACACCATTTGTCTCTCCTGCCGTGAGAACATCAAATTTTAATATCTATCTGCACACAGAAAAGCACCATCACAAGAACCAAAAATCAGGTGAGCAATCACTGTACCTGTTTTTAACTTTATATCACTGAAAAGGCATTGAAGAGAGTAGAAGAGTTAGTTCTGAATTGCCAATCCCACCCCTCCTCCATCTTCAGCTGTGCAACAAAGAGAGCCTGTGCACTTGAGGGAGGGAGAACACAGCATTTGGGGGACTTTACATTGAACTCAGTGCTGTTCTGTCATAGCAGAGAGGAGAGAAAAGCCATGCTGGGCCCAGGCAGTGCCCATACATGGAGGGAGCATTTGGACCAGCCCTAGAAAGGGGCATTGCCTATCCCAGAGGTTAGAATTTGAGTTTCTCAGCAAACCTTACTACCATGAGCCAAAGTGTTCTGTGGTCCTAGGTACACTTGAAAGATATTCTAGGACACAAGGACTGCAAGTCTTAGGCAAGTCCTAGTGTTTGGCTGGGCTTAGAGCCAGTGGACTTCGGCTTGTCACCTAGGGAGACACCTCCAGGACGGCTAAGGGAGAACTTGTGTCACCCCTCTTCAGGCAGATCAGCTCAAGAAATGAAAGTGACTCCTTCATTTTGCTTAAGGAGAGGAGATCAAAGAGTAAAGAGGACTTTGTCTTGCATCCTGAGTACCAGCTCAGTGACAATAGGATACGCCACCCGGCAGAGTTGTGAGGCCACCATTCCATGCCCTAGCCTCCAGATGACATTTCTAGGCATGGTCTGGGCCAAAAGGGAACCACTGCCTTGAAGGGAAAGACCTAGTCTTGGCAGGATTTGTCTCCTGCTGATTAAAGAGCCTTTAGGCACTCAATAACTAGCAGTGATACCCAGGTAGTACACTGTCGGCCTTAAGTGAGACTGAGATGTGCTGGTTTCAGGTGTGACCTAGCACATTCCCAGTTGTGTTAGCTGTGGAGAAAGACTCTTGTTTGAGAAAAGCAGACGGAAAAGTCAAGGGGACTTTGTCTTGCACCTTAGGTACCAACTCAGTCGCAGTGGGGCAGAGCAAATAATAGGCATTTGGAGTCCTCAAGTCCAGGCCTAGGTTCTTGGGCAGCATTTCTAGACCTACCCTGGGCTAGAAAGGAGCCTACTGCCATGAAGGGTGAGTCCCAGGCCTGCCAGCGTTTACCACAACCTGACTCAAGAGCCCTTGGGCTCTTGAGTGCACATTGGCGGTGGCCTAGAACAAACCCCCATGGGCTGGCAGTCGTGGTAAGCACAAGGAGAGGCTCCTTTGCCTGTGGAAAGGAGAGGGAGAAGTGGGAAGGACTTTGTATTGTGGTTTGAGTGCCAACTTAGCTGTGGTAGAATAGAACATCAGATAATTTTGTATAGTGTTTGACTGTAATCCCTGGCTCTCAGACAGTATCTCTGGATCCGCCTGGGGCCCATGGGAACTCACCACCCCAAAGGGAAGGATACGAACCTTACTGGCTTCACCAACTACTGATCTTAGAACCCTACAGCCTTGGGTGAATATAGGTGTTAGCTGGTAATGGTTACTGAGAGCCTTGTGTAAGACCCAGTGCAGTACAGGCTTCAGATCTGTCTCAGCAGAGTCCCGTGGCAGTGGCCAAAGGGGTGCTTGGATCACCACACCCCCAGTTCTAGATGACTCAGTGCAGAGAGAGAGACTCCATTCGTTTGGGAGAAAGTAAGGGAAAAGAACAAGAATGTCTACCTCATAATCCAGATAATTTTTCTAGATTTTATCCAAGACCACCAAGGTGGTACCTCTACAAGTCTGCAAAAACCACAACATTATTGGGCTTACGGCCCAAGTTCCTTCAAATACTTGTAAAGCTTTCCCAATAAGTACAGGCACAAACAAGCCTAGACTGAGAAGGCTGTAATAAATACCCAACTCTTCAATGCCCAGACACAGTCACACATCTGCAAGTATCAGCACTATCCAGGAAAATATGACATCACCAAGTGAACTAAATAAGGCACCAAAGACCAATCCTGGAGAAACAGAGATTATCCTTTCAGAAAGAGAATTTAAAATAGTCATTTTGAGGAAACTCAAAGAAATTCAAGATAACACAGAATAGTAATTCAGAATTTTATCAGATAAATTTAACAAAGACATTGAAATAAAAAAGATCAAGCACAAAGTCTAGACATGAAAAATGCAACTGACATACTGAGTAATGTATCAGAATCTCTTAATAGCAGAATTTATCAAGCAGAAGTAAGAATTAGTGAACTTGAAGACAGGCTGTTTGAAAATACACTGTGAGAGGAGACAAAAAAAAAAGCACACATACGAGATCTAGAAAATAGCCTTAGTAGAGCAAATATAAGAGTTATTGGCCTTAAACAGGAAGTAGAGAAGGAGACGGGTAGAAAATGTATTCAAAGGGATAATATCAGATAATTTCCCAAACCTATATAAAGATATCAACATTCAAACACAAGAAGGTTATAAAACACTAAGCAGATTTAACCAAAACAACACTATCTCAAGGCATTTAGTAATAAAACTCCCAATGGTCAAGGACAAAGGATTCTAAAAGCAGCAAGAGAAGTGAAACGACAACATACGATGGAGCTCCTATACATCTAGCTGCAGACTTTTAAGTGGAAACCTTACAGGCCAGAAGTAGCATAATATATTTAAAGTACTAAAGGAAAAAAAAAAGGCTCTTACCCTAGAATAGTATATCCACCAAAAATAACCTTCACACATGAAGTAAAAATAAAGACCTTCCCACACAAACAAAGGTTGAGGGACTTCATTGACACCAGACCTGTCCTACAAGACATACTAAAAGGAATTCTTCAATCTGAAAGAAAATGATATTAATTAATAAGCATGAGGAAATCATCTGAAGGTACAAAACTCATTGCTAATAGTAAGCACGAAGAAAAACAGGTTATTATAACACGTAATTGTGTTGTGTAAGCTACTCATATCTTAAGTAGAAAGACTAAATGATTAATAAAAAATAATAATTACGACAACTTTTCAAGGCATAGACAGTACAATAAGACACAAAGAGAAACAACAATAAGTTAAAAAGCAGGGACAGAAAGTTAAATTGTAGAGATTTTATTAGTTTTCTTTTTGCCTGTTTATTAGTTTTTTGTTTATACCATCAGTGTCAAGTTGTCATCAGTATAAAATAATGGGTTATAAGACATTATTCTGAAATTGAAAAAAATACAATAGATATACAAAAAATAAAAAGGAAGAAATTATTAATGGCAATAAATCTTACCACCAGAGAAAATCACCTCCACTAAAAGGAAGACAGGAAAAAATGAAAGAAGGAAACAAGGAAGAGAAGACCACAAAACAACCAGAAAACAAATAACAAAATGGCAGGAGTAAGTCCTACTTATTAATAATGCCACTGAATGTAAGTGGAGTAAACTAACCAATAAAAAGATAGAGAATAGCTGAATGGATGAAAAAACAAGACCCAATGATCCATTACTTACAAGAAACACTTCATCTGTAAGAGTCATGAAGGCTGAAATTAAAGGATTGGAAAAAGATATACCATTCAAATGGAAACAAAAAAAGAGCAGAAGTAGTTATACTTATATCAGACAAAAGATGTTTCAAGACAAAAAAAGTAAGAAGAAACAAAAATGGTCATTATATAATGATAAAGCAGTCAATTCAGCAAGAGGATATAATGATTGTAAATATATATATGTATATATATATACATATATATATATATAAAACACTGGGGCATATAAAGCAAATATTATTAGAGATAAAGAGAGAGACTCACCTCAATACCTCAATACAATAATAGCTGAAGAATTCAACACCTCATTGTCATCATTGGACAGATCTCCTAGGTAGAAAATCAATAAAGAAAAAATGGGCTTAATCTGCATTATAGAACAAATGTACCTAATAGATATTTATATAACATTTCATCTAATGGCTGCACAATACTTTTTCTCCTCAGGCCATAAATCATTCTTAAGGATATACCATATGTTAGTTTACAAAATAAGTCCTAAAACATTAAAAAAAAAACTAAAATAATATCAAGTACATTCTCTGACCACAGTGAAAGAAAACTAGAAATCAATAACAAAAGGAATTTTGGAAACTATATGAACACATAGAAATTAACTAATATGCTCCTGAATGACCAGTGAGACAATGAAAAAATTAAGAAGAAAGTTGAAAAATGACTTGAGATAAGTATTAATGAACACACAACATAACAAAACATATGGAATATAGTGAAAGCAGTACTAACTGGAAGTTTATAGCTATAAGTGCCTACATCAAAAGAAGAAAATGTTCAAACAAATGATCTAATGATGCATCTTAAAGAACTGAAAAAGCAAGCACAAACTCAACCCACTATTAGTAGAAGAAAATAAATAATGAAGATCAGAGCAAAATAAATGAAATGAAATGAAGAACACATACAAATAAAATAAAAAGGTGCTTTTTTGAAAAGATAAACAGAACTGAAAAAACTCTATGCAGACTAACGATGAAAAACAAGAGAAGACTCAAGTAATTAAAATCAGAGATGAAAAGGAGACCTTACAACTGATACTTCAGTTGTACAACTGATACTTCAGATATTAAAATGATCATTAGTGACTACTCTGAGCAATTATATGCCAATAAATTGGTAAATCCAGATGAAATAGATAAATTCCTATAAACATACAACCTACCAAGATTAAACCAATAAGAAATCCAAAACATGAACAGACCAATAAAGAGTAACGAGATTGAAGCTGTAATGAAAACTCTCCCATTAAACAATTATCTTGGGACCCAATGGTTTCACTGCTGAATTCTACCAAACATTTAAAGAATTA
The DNA here is from genome assembly GCF_000001405.40 of Homo sapiens. Lineage (NCBI taxonomy): Eukaryota > Metazoa > Chordata > Mammalia > Primates > Hominidae > Homo > Homo sapiens. The sequence continues at coordinate 188,625 of NW_015148967.1, read as the reverse complement.
GTATCAATCCTACTCAAACTATTCCAAAAATAGAAGTTCGCTATACTTCCAGTCTCATTCTATGAGGTTAGTATTAGCCTGATATTAAAACCAAAGACACGTCAACAAAAGAAAACTACAGACCAATATCTCTGATGAATATTGATATAAAAATTCTCAACAAAATACTAGCTAATGAAATTCAATAATACGTCAAAGAGATTATTCATCTTGGCCAAATGGGGTTCAAATAAATAACCCTGCGGTTTATCCTAGGGACACAAAGATGGTTCAACATATACAAATCAATCAATATGATACATCATACCATCAGAGTAAAGGACAAAAACCATATGACCATTTCAATTGGTGCTAAAAAACATTTGATAAAATTCAATATCCCTTTGTGTAAAAAGCCTTCAAAAAACTGGGTATCAAAGGAACATACCTCACCATAATAAAAAGACCCACAGCTGGTATCATACTAAATGGGAAAATTCTGAAAGCCATTACCCTAGATCTGGAACACAATAAGGATGCCCACTTTCAACACTGTTATTCAACATAGTACTGGAAGTTCTAGCTACAGCAATCAGACAAAATAAATTTTTAAAAAAGTCATCCAAATTGAAAAGGGAGGAGTCAAATTATATGTTTGCAGATGATATGATCTTCTATTTGGAAAAACCTAAAGACTCCACCAAAAAAAAAAAAAAAACAAAAAACTATTAGAAGTGATAACAAATTCAGTGGCAGGATACAAAATCAACATACAAAAATCAGTTGTGTTTCTATATACCAACAGTGAAAAATCTGAAAATGAAATTGAAAAAGTAATAACATTGTGGGGGAGAACTACACATACTGGGCCCTGCTGGTGGGGGTGATGTGGGGAAGGAGGGCATCAGGAAGAATAGCTAATGGATGCAAGGCTTAATACCTAGGTGATGGGATGATCTGTACAGCTAACCACCATGGCACATGTTTACCTATGTAACAAATCTGCACATCCTGCACATGTATGTACCACTGAACTTAAAAATAAAAGTTGAAGATTAAAACAGTAATCTCATTTTCAATAATCATAAAAAAATAAGTACCTAGGAATCAACTTAACCAAAGAAGTGAAGGCTCTCTACAATGAAAATTATAAAACACTGATGAAATAAATTGAAGAAGATACAATAAAATGAAAATATTCCATGTTCACGAGTTGGAAGAATCAATATTGTTAAAATGTCCATACTAACCAAGGCAGTCTACAGATTTAATGTAATTCCTATCAAAATACCAATGACATTCTTAACAGACATAGAAAAAAAGAATCCTAAAATTTATATGGAACCATAAAAGACCCAGAATAGCCAAACTTCTCCTAAGCAAAATGTACAAAACTGGAGGAATCACATTACCTTACTTCAAATTATGCTACAAAGGTATAATAACCAAAAACAGCACAGTACTGGCATAAAAACAGACACATAGACCAAGGGAACAGAATAGAGAACCCAGAAACAAATTCACACACCTATAGTGAGCTCATTTTCAACAAGGTGCCAAGAACATACACTGGGGAAAATACAGTCTCATCAACAAATGGTACTGGGAAAACTGAATAGCCATATGCAGAAGAATGAAACTAGACCCCTATCTCTGGCCATATAAAAAATAAAGTCAGAATGAATTAAAGGCTAAATCAAATTATGAAACTACCACAGGAAAATATTGGGGGAAACTCTCCAGAACATTGGACTGGGCAGAGATTTCTTCAGTAATATGCCACAAGCACAGGCAACCAAAGCAAAAATGGACAAATGGAATCAGAACAAGTCAAAAGTTTCTGCACAGTAAAGGAAACAGTAAACGAAGTGAAGAGACAACCCACAGAACGAGAGAAAATATTTGCAAACTACTCATTTGACAAAGAATTAATAACCAGAATATATAAGGAGCTTTAACAATTCTACAGGAAAGAAATATCATAATCTGATTAAAAATGGGCAAAAGATCTGAGCAGAGATTTCTCAAAAAGAAATACATGCAAGTGAAAAACAGGTATATGAAAGGTGCTCTATATCACTGACCATCAGAGAAATGCAAATCAAAACTACCATGAGATACCATGTCACCCCAGTTAAAATAGTTTATATGCAAACAACAGGCAATAACAAATGCTGGAGAGGATATGGAGAAAAGAGAAACTTCCTACATTGTTGATGTGAATGTAAATTAGTATGACCACTATGAAGAGCAGTTTGGAGGTTCTCGTAAAACTAAAAATAGAGCTACCACTGCTGAGTATATAGAAAGGAAATCAGTACATCAAAGAGTTATCTGCACTCCTGTGTTTATTGCAGCACTCTTCACAATAGTGAAGACTTATAAGTAACCAAGCTAAGTGTCCATCAACAGATGAATGGATAAAGCAAATGAGGTACATATAAACAATGGAGTACTATTCAGCTATAAAAAGACAAGATCATTTCATTTGTAACAACATGGATGGAACTGGAGGTTATTATGTTAAGTAAAATAAGCCAAGCACAAAACAACAAACATCACATGTTCTCACTTATTTGTGGGATCTAAAAATCAAAACAATTGAACTCATGGAGATAGAGAGCAGAAGGAAAGTTAGCGGAGGCTGGGAAGGGTGAGGGTGGGGAGTGGGAGGAGCTGAGGACAGTTACTGGGCACAAAAAATAGAAAGAGTAAATAAGATTTAGTATTTGACAGCACTACATGGTGAATACAGTCAATAATCATTTAATTGTAGCGTTTAAAATAACTAGAAGAGTATAATTGGATTGTTTGTAACACAAAGGATAAATGCTTAAGGAGACAGACATCCCATTTTCCATGATGTAATTATGTATTGCATGTCTGCATCAAAATATCTCATGTACTTCATGAATATATGCAACTACTGTGTACCCACAAAAATAAAAAATGAAACATTTAAGAAGATGTAGAATTGATTTATATTACAGGGCAGCATGCTTTCTCTAGAACTAACTGAGTTTGACTATGATATACAGAAATAGCAGCTACATATGAGTTAACAAACCCTTTGAGATACAAAGCCTACAACCATAAATAAATGGTAATTGAACATAATTCAAATTCTCAGAGTAATAATTTATTGATTTATGTTAAATCAACATTGATTGATTGCACTAATTACCCCGTTTAAGTGTTCCCACTGTATATGTCCTTTCTTTTATAACTTTGTAGTCTACTTTCACTCTGACTTTTTGTTAAACTGTATAACCTGCTTTGCACAATGAGACTGTAGCAATTTTAATACAAGCAAAATCTTGAAAATTATTTGCACATTTCACTCTCTGTTTTCAGAACCTTCCACTACCCTGAGAGCCAGACAGGATAAACTGGAGGAGGACAATAAATTACATGGTGGAGCATCCTAATTGCAGCTATCTTAGGGTAACAGGCCTCCAGCTAACCCACTTGCTCATTTCAAACACGTAAGTCTAGGAGAGATAAGCTGAGCTTCATCCACTTCAGTAGACCAACCTGGCTAACACACAGACTCGTGAAAATAATAAACACCTGATATTTTAAGCCATTTTATATTAGGGTAAATTGTTACTCAGAAATAGCTAACTGATGCACAAAATAAAAATGTCTATAACATTTTCTGTAGAAGATATAGGAGTAAGTTTTTGTAAACATTAATGCTTATATACACTAAAAGAGCCTTTTCATAAAAGAGTCATTTTTCCTTCCCCAAAATTTTTTCTAGTTTTTGCATGACTTGCTCTTTCATCTTTCACTACCTCTCGTCTCTGCTTAAGGGTCACCTAATCAAAGACTTTTCTGACCATTCTATATAAAGTTGCACCCCCTACTGCCCACTATAGTCCTTATCTCCTTAACCTGCTCTATTTTTTTCGTTACCATTTAGTAATTTAACATCCCCTTTCAAACGTATCACACACACACACACACACACACACACACACACACGCACGATTTCTTTCATTTTAAAAAAACTTCCCACACAGAACTAAACTGCATAATGCAAAGGTTAGGACTTTTTTTCCAGTGAAATTCAGTAGCTTCAAGGTATAGAAAAGCCTAAAATGTAATGTATTGAAATATATTGTTGAATTAATATTTATAGATGACATTTGTTTATGTGGTGGACATCTCATCTGAAAAACGAAAATGGTTAAAACCAAAGATAAAGTGAGACAATTAGAATTCCTTGAAATATGTCTAACAATCATAGTAACAAAACTAAATAGAAGGGCTGAATAGCAGAATTAATACATTAGAAATAATGAGCCTACAAACCTGAATTTTGTTCTTTTTTTTACTAAAAAGTAGTAAATGCAAGACAATGAGAGAAAAATAAGAAAGGAAGGTTAAAATAGAAGATATAAAGATTAGCTGCAACAAGAACAGAAGAAAAAATGTTACCAAAGAAACAATAAAAAATCTTTTTCCAGAGTTGAAAACAGATATAAGTAAATAAGATATCTAGAGTGTACCATCCAGGTAATAAACAGGATGAATATAAAGACCTAGGCATACGACTGTAAACATTTCAATGCCAACAGCAACAAATAATAATAAAAATGAACAAATGAATAAGCAAATACATATATACATGCATATATGGTAAGTGGAGAATCAATGAAAGTATGGGAATAAAGTTATCTATGGCCAGCTCATGCACAATACTGACTTATAAAAAGCAATGATGAAATAATTACTTTTTCATTCATCAAGAAATTTAATGGACCAACCATAATTTTTTAATCACGGTCCCAGCTGCTTGAAATGCATTCATAAAGAAAACAGAAAAAATAACCGCCACCTGCCTTCTTATTAATTTTGAACCCTAAATGTCAATGACTAAATGAACATTCAAGTGTCAGGGTAAAATGAATATATTTTTAACATACAATGCTTATCAAATTTATTGTGAATTCTAGTCATCTGCAATATAAGAATGCTACATACTTAAAAAGCACTACATCGCAAACTCACTAATGAATATAAAAGTCTTAAATAAAATATTACCAAACCAAAGGCAATGACATCGTTAAAAATACTTTAAAATAGGGTTCATCTCGGAATTCATTGGAATGCATTATATCCATTAATAAATCTAGTGCATTTACTACAAAATGTATTGATTTATATTGCTGCATAACAAATTATCTCAAGCTTAGCATCTTGAAACAATTTACTTCATTATCTCACAGTTTTACAGCTCAGAAGTTCAAGCATACCTTAACCGATTCTTCTGGCAGGGTCTTCCAAGGCAGCAATCATGGTGTCTCATCTGAAGTCCTGGGTGCCCTCCGAAGATCACAGGATTGTTGGCATTTTTCACTTCCTTTAGTTGTAGAATCGAGGTTCCCAGTTCCAAGAAGCTGTCTCTGTCCATTGAGAGTTCAAACCAGGCTGTTAGCTTCTTCATGGCCAGAAGAACATTTCTACTCTTCTAGTCTCAGATTTCTGTCTGATATCTAGACCTCTTTTAAATGGCTAACCTGATTATGTCAAACTCATCCAGTACAATTTCTTTTTTGATTAACCTGAAAGTAAACTGACTAGGAACCTTAAATGCATCTTTGGTATCTCTTTATTTTTGCCATATTATGATACTTAATGTAATCATTGGAATAATATTATCTTCCCTTTGCTATATTCTAAAACGAAGTTACAGGTCATTCCTACACTCAAGGATATTAAACATGGATACAGGTCATTGGGGATTATCTTAGAATTATTTCTCTAATTTATAATAATAGACATACATTAGTAAATCTATTATTATCTTCATTTAGCCACTAATTTATCCATTATTACACATTAATATAGGTAGATAAAATTAGCATATGATTATATCTGTAGGTTCTTAAAAGGCATTTGACAAAATATTACCCCCAATTCTGTTAAAAAGACAGTCAATAATTTGGTATCAGTTAATGTATCCTTAGCATGTTAGAATTAATATATCTCAGCACTAAAGCCAGACACTAACTTAATGCATACATGCTAAGAGCTTTTCCACCTGATCAGAAACAAACGAACAAAAAAGGATTTATCTTATCTTCATTATTACTTAACATTATGTTGGGAGAAAATTCTTCATGGTATCTCTAAAGGTCTGTATTAATTTTTTTCCAGAATATATTCTCAAGTGTGTTTCTATGATAAACAGTTTGGAAGCAGGAATAATGTCACCCTACAGAGCAGAGGGTAGACTTGTTCACTGACCAGAATAATAAAGATAATATATACATCTTATCCTGGAATAAAGGTTGGACAGGATTGTTTGTTTTCTCCTTGTAAGGTTGGGGATGTCCCAAGTTGAGAGTTCGTCATTTGTGACACAAAGCATTGTGGCTGCTCCAAATCACCCATGCGGAACATTGTAGGCTGCTCCAAATCACCCGTGTGGAACTTGGAGAACAAGAACCAATAGAAATATGAAGCCCCTTCTGTCTGCTTTGGTGTAAATAATAAAATCCTTTGTATTTGACCCAGGAGTCTCATGTTGTCTATTAGCAAAGTTGGAACTGTGGCATTCTAATTTGTTAGTTGGCAAGTAGTTAAAATATCAGACCCTTTGTCATTTTAGCCACATCAATTTGAAAATACTAGCCACATCAATTAGGTGAGACAAAATCATTGAAATTGGAAAGAAAAACATAACATAAACTTTATTTAAATATAACCTGAATATACATCTAGGAATCTTCCCCAAAAATCACTTTCACAATCCAAATAAGAAAGTGGCTGATTTCACAATCAACACACTAAAATAACATTCACTGATACAAACAGAAAACTAAAAAGTGAAGAAGCAATACTAAAAGAGAAGTTTTATCCTGCCATATGCAACGAGTTAACTTCCAAATTTATCTTTTTTTGGATTAATTATGTAAATGTACCAAGTAAAACAAACAAAAAAAAGCTATTAAAAGAAGCTGTGAGTGAATTTCTAACTAGGGAGGGAGAAAACTTCTCTATCAGGACTACAAGTCCAACAAAAATAGGAAATATGTTAAGTTCAACTTTATGTTAAAAAATACTTGTTAAAAACAACCACAGGAAAAAACATTAAAATTTTATTTTTCAGAATCTCAAATCAAATGGAAAGATTATTTCAAGATTTTAATGAAATGATAACACTTGAACGAAGTTAAGCTCTTAAGGGAGTGTTTGCTTACAAATCAAAGCTTAGTGACCTCCCAGGTTCTCTAGTCTCAGTATTCAACAATTATATTTGTTTTCATAGGTACCTCTTGCTTTCACAATCTAATATTGAATTGTTTTATTTGTATTTATATTTTATTGATTAATAGTCTTTAAGTTCAGCATTCGCACAACTTTCATGTATTCATCTTTCAACATTTATTTCTTCTAATATTTTTTAAATATTCCATTAAGCTCATCCCCCTTTCACCCCAAGTATTTTGGAAATATTTCTACAATTTCATTTATCTCACCCCATATCAAGAAAATATGTGTTTTATAGACTCCATCTTTTTCTCTTACTTTGAAATTTTTCCCATGATCTTTTTGATGTTTTAAAAAGATAGTAATCCAGGAACATATATTGAGTCATTATAGACAAGAAGGTTAAGATCACAGCTCTTTAGGGCCAAGCTCTGTGACATGATCAAGATACATATCAGTACATCTGCTACTGGAGAAATTATTTTTTCTTTCATTCAACTAACGTGTTTATATACTTTATGTTCCAAATGCTAAACAAGGCTGTCAGTATCCCAAACATGTAATTTGGCCTTAGTGTATAAACTCTTCACCAGGAAGCAATGTGTATTTCTATTTATAGAATGGCATCTTTAACTGTAAGTTCTACATCAGTCATGTGTTTTTATGATAAAGTTTCAAATCATAGAGGTACCATGACAAACTCCTGCTGTGGTGTACTGTGTATTGCACCATACTGTGGGCAAGTAGAAGGCTATTTTCTGGTATATGTTTATTTACACACACACACACACACACACACAGACTTTTTGGAGAACAACCAAATATTTAATGGCATATGTACTTGTTTTGTATTCTTTCTTTTATAGCAACTTTTAAAAGTCATGTCATACCTTAGAGATTTTTCTTGAATTTTATTTTTCTTCGACTTTAGTGAAATGTATCTTATGTGTTTATCTTCCTGAGACTTTAATCATCACATTTTTATTTTTGTGGTCCTCAAGTTGTTCTGTGAGATTCATTCATTATTTTTTTACTAGTTTACTATTTTAAAATGGCAGTACCATAGACGCTTGTCATGATTTTCACCTCGAATGTGGCAAAAGCATTGTCAGAATAATCATTTTATGGTAAGGTAACATTTCAGTCTTCTTAATTTTATTTTCAAGATGAACACCTATTGATATTCTCTCAGAGCAAGTCCTGAGAGAAGTGAGAGAGAGAAAAAAAAAGAGAGAGAAAGAAAGTGAGGTAGCTCAAAGTTGTTTATCACCCAATTTCTGAAGTGACATTTCATCACATTTGTGGTATTCTGTTTATTAGAAGCAAGCCGGCAGATCTGGTGTACACAGAAGTGAAGCGGGTTACACAAAGGTATGGTTATCATTGGGATCCATTTTAGAATCTGTGCACAATATCTGTATTCAAATGCCGGCAATATAATTAAGAGAAATACAGCCTTAAATGAGATGTTCTATCACTTTTCAGCTTCCAAAAAAAAAACTGTTTCCTCATGTGTTACACGAGATCATGATACTGCCCTTGAACACCACACCATGTAAGAATCATGGCAAGATATATACACACATGAATGCATGTTAAAAGCATCAGGTCCTATGTAAGGAGAAGTCAGCATTGTTGTTGTTATTAATTGGTAATATAAATAAAAATTAGTTTGATAGTTGTATTACTGACATATTTGTGAGATTGGGTTTGATTAAGGATCCTGCAAAGCAACATTGCAGAAGCTAAAGATAAAACCTTATTTTTTGAAAAATATGTAGGGTTTAAAGTAAAATATTCAGTAAAGTAAGGGAAACAGTCATTCATTTATTTCACAAGTATTTTTGCAGTGCCTTTGTAGTGCCAATCAAACTAAATGTGGTTTGACAATAGATCCGAAGTGAGTAGTTTAATTTTCCTGTAGTATGAGAAATGAATTTGGGGGTAGTAAATGCCTCAAAAGAATATTAGAATTAGCTTATTGCAAGCCTAATGTTTTATGAAAGTGAAGAGAAGCAGGATTAAAAGTTTACCTAAATCTTACAGCAAGTGAGCTGCAGAGTCATCCCTAGAATCCTGATCCTCTATCTAGGCCAATTTTTTTTTTTAGAAAGACAGTGGTTTTTTTTTTTTGGGTTTTTTTTTTTTTTTTTTTTTTTTTTTTTTTTTTAGAAAGACTGATTTTCTTTCTGTTGAATATTTTATTATTTCTAACAAAAATGAATAATCGTAAAGAGCAATGGGATGAAATAGTGGGAATGAATATTTCATTCTAACACATAGACTAAGATAGTTTATATTTTAAATTTTATTTTTAATATGGTTCTATCCTGTAAAAATATTTTGGAGATTTAAAAATAAATTATACCAACATTTTCCCTGTGTGATTAAAAATGAGAACACATGGACACAGGAAGGGGAACATTACATACCGGGGCCTGTTGTGGGGTGGGGAGAGTGGGGAGAGATAGCTTTAGGAGATATACCTAATGTTAAATGACAAGTTAATGGGTGCAGCACACCAACATGGCACATGTATACATATGTAACTAACCTGCACGTTGTGAACATGTACCCTAAAACTTGAAGTATAATAAAAAGATTATTTTACTGAAAAGTGTTGAAAACATTTGACATTAAAATGAAGCACAATTTGTCTTACATGTATTAAAAGGGAAATATTACTGTCCTTTTCACTTGCACAAATTCCTATATGAGAGCCAGAAAAAAATACTTAATATTTATACTTACTATTTATAGACAGTTTTGGAACATACATGGGCAAGTCCATGATAAGAGGCATACATCAGTGTGGGTACTTGAAGACTGAGTTAAAATTGGTTCTCACTAAGGATCATGGCCTGCAGTTCCAACCATGTTACTGCAAAAGGCACTATTTCATTTTTTATGGCTGTGTACCCCCAAACACCAGTATCACAAAATGTTCTTAAGTAACAGACCTACATATGTACCCATTGTATCTACAATAATAGTTGAAATTTAAACTAAATATTTAATCACTGGTTCTCATCAGAGGCTTCTAGGTAGAAAATGTTGAACTCATAGAAGAAGAGAGTAGAATGGTTTCCAGGGACTTAGAGGATGAGAGGTTGGGAAGATGTTGGTCAAAATATGTAAAATTTCAGTTAGATGGGATAAATAAATTCTAGACATTTATGGTACAACATATTGACTATAGTTAGTAATAATGTATTTGAATCTGAAAATTGCTAAGAGAGATTTTTGTTTTCTAATGACAAACAATAAGTACGTGAGGTAATGTGTATGTTAATTAGCTTGATTATGTCATTTTACAGTGTAGGTACATTTCAAAACATCATGTTGTACACTATATATTATATATGGTATACAACTATATATATTTGTTTGGTGAGCTTTGGTGTCAAGGCATGTACTGATGTGCCTTGACACCATACCTCACCAAATAAATCAGGACCTCTGGGATTGGGATCAAGGTACCAATATTTTTAAAGTTCTTTAGGTGATTCTAACACTGAGCTAGAATTGAGAACCTCTGAGTTATCACAGAGATGCTGATGAGAATTCGAGTGTCGAATGCATACACAGCATTCACAGAAACTACCTAGTCCAAATACTTTCTACAGAAGGAGGACTTTTCAGTCTTTGGTATTCAAAGACATTTATAGTTACTTTTCTCTCACAGAGCTCTTCTCGGCTAACATTTCTGATGCTTGTAAAGAGTTGGAACCATCAAGTTATCAAATTAATCATGTGTCACCTGCTAACATGAAATAAGTGCTATGTTTCTAACAGCAAATGCTAAATTAATGTCATTTTAGTCACAAGGAGTTCAAAATCAATTTCAATGCTAATCAGTGGTTGAAAGAATAGATTAGCAATGCAGTGAATGCCATTACCCTTTCAAGCATCTCTTTTATGTGATGCTCCCTGCTGAGGTGAATAAGGTTGTGAGGCTGTGATATCAAGAAGCAAGGGTATCAGTTAAAAAAAAAGAAATAAGAAGTAAAGTATAAAGATCCTGGAGAGGAAAAAGTTAAGTTAAAATCCTATTAAATTAATTTATTTTATTTTTGCCTACAATAAACTATCATTTCAGCAATAGAGTGAATGCATTGCTATTTCAAATAAAAATGACCTCTAAATCAAAAAATGGAAATAACTTGTATGATTTTTGAAGAATTTTGTGTTAAATCATTTTAATTTTAACATAAAATTCTTAAATTCAAAGCCTTTATTTTTATCTCTACTGTATAATGTTATTTTACACTGATATGGCTAAATCTTCTCCACTATATTATTAAAGTAACCCAATATTATAACATAATAATAATAATAATAGTAATAATAATATAGGAGAGAAGGCACCATCTTGATAATACTCCTAACAGAAAATATGATCTTATTACTCTGCTTCAATGATAATATGTAAAGGACTCAAAGCACATTTTCTTTTGCTACATATCTCTTATTCATTTACAGTGTAGGTTTGAATAATATATCGTAATTATACTTTGTATATACAAAAATCTTCTCTATGGAAAGAAATTTAGATGAATATTAAGTGGATTTTCTGTTTAAGAAAATTATTTTAAACCTTGACTGAGAATGAACTTTTTTGCATGATATTTCTGTACTATAGAAAGGTTCAGCAAAAAAAAGGTTCAGAAAAAAAAGGGAAAATATATATAGATATATATTTTAGAAATTTTTTTAAAAAATATTTTATCTTCTCTTTGCATTTATAACATAATTCACTTAAACAATCACAGAATCCTTTTTTTCCAATGCCACAAACTCTGTTTGCTTAGAATGCTGGTATAAATCCATGAATTTTATGTAATGAACTTAAACATAGATTAGAAATTGAACTGATGAGCAAAACAATTTGTGTTTCTCAAGACTAAAAAATTATATTAAGTAGATTAGCTGTGCAGATCTGTACAGCTTATTACCACATGTATTATGATAAATGAAATATAGCATATTCTCTCATATCAGCAGTACATTTTTACTTCTTCTAAACCAGAGTTTATGTGTTGCTAGTTTCATGCACATCCATGTGAAGAGACCACCAAACAGGCTTTGTGTGAGCAATAAAGCTGTTCATTTCACCTGGGTGCAGGTGGGCTGAGTCTGAAAAGAGAGTCAGCGAAGGGAGATAAGGGTGGGGCTGTTTTATAGGATTTGGATAGGTAAAGGAAAATTACAGTCAAAGGGGGTTTGTTCTCTGGCGGGCAGGAGTGGGGGTTGCAAGGTGCACAGTGGGGGTGCTTTTTGAGCCAGGATGAGCTAGGAAAAGGACTTTCACAAGGTAATGTCATCACTTAAGGCAAGGACCAGCCATTTACACTTCTTTTGTGGTGGAATGTCATCAGTTAAGGTGGGGCAGGGCATATTCACTTCTTTTGTGATTCTTCAGTTACTTCAGGCCATGTGGGCCTGTCACAGGGGATGAGATGGCTTGGCTTGGGCTCAGAGGCCTGACATTCCTGCCTTCTTATATTAATAAGAAAAATAAAACAAAATAGTGTTGAAGTGTTGGGGTGGCGAAAATTTTTGGGGGGTGGTATGGAGAGAGAATGGGCTATGTTTCTCAGGGCTGCTTCAAGCGGGATTAGGGGCGGCGTGGGAACCTAGAGTGGGAGAGGTTAAGCTGAAGGGAGGTCTTATGGTAAGGGGTGATATTGTGGGGATGTTAGAAGAAACATTTGTCATATAGAATGATTGGTGATGGCCTGGATACGGTTTTGGATGAATTGAGAAACTAAATGGAATAACAGAAGGAGAAAAACAGGTATAAAAGTTCTAGGAATTGGGATGACTCAGGACATCTGATTAGAGAGTGCCTAAGGAGATTCAGGATAGTCCTGCCAGCAAAGATTATTTATTTACTTCAAGAGTTAAGAGTGGAAGTTTGGGGATAGCACTAGGAGATATCAGCTGTGATGGCCTGGAAAAACAGTGTAAACTGGCAGTGTAAACAAGAGCAGGGCATATATGAGTAGTTGAGAACGGTGAATAGGAGTATGACTAGACAGAAGATAGTAGGGATGACAAGTTTTTTGGGGGCACAGTCTAAGTTGGTCTGGTGTCTGGAATGAGACTGGGGCCTAATAAAAAGGAGCGTCTATACAGGAGCTTAAATGGGCTGTACCCTGTAGCATTCAGAGGACAGGCCTGAATTCTGAGAAGGGAAAGTGGTAAAAGTATTGTCCAGTCCTTTTTAAGTTGGTGGCTGAGCTTGGTGAGGTGTGTTTTTAAAAGACCTTTAGTCCATTCTACTTTTCTTGAAGGCGGAGGACTGTAAGGGATATAAAGGTTTCACTGAATACTAAGAGCCTGAAAAACTGCTTGGCTGATTTGACTAATAAAGGCTCGTCTGTTATCAGACTGTATTGAGGTGGGAAGGCTAAACTGAGGAATTATGTCTGACAGAAGGGAAGGAAATGACTGGGGTGGCCTTCTCAGACCCTGTAGGAAAGGCCTCTACCTATCCAGTGAAAGTATCTACCTAGACTATGAGGTATTTTTGTTATCTGACTCAGGGCATGTTAAGTAAAGCTAATTTGCCAGTCCTGGGTGGGGCAAATCCTCGAGCTTGATGTGTAGGGAAGGGAGGGGGCCTGAATAATCCCTGAGGAGTAGTAGAATAGCAGATGGAACACTGAGAAGTTATTTCCTTGAGGATAGATTTCCACGATGGAAAGGAAATGAGAGGTTCTAAGAGGCTGGCTAGTGGCTTGTACTGTAGCATAACCTGCCTTTACTGGTGTGTGGCAATTAGGCCTGGTGGAACTACCATCAATAAATCAAGCGTGATGAGGGTGAGGAACAGGAAAGAAGGAAATCTGGGGAAATGGGGTGAATGTCAGGTGGATCAGAGAGATACAGTCATGGGGGTCAGGTGTGGTATCAGGAATAATGTGGGAGGCCGGATTGAAGTCTGGGCCAGGAACAATGGTAATTGTGGGAGACTCAACAAAGAGTGAGTACAGCTGAAGGAACCGGGAAGCAGAAAGTATATGCATCAGGTATGAGGAAGAAAATAGATTTTGGAAGTTATGAGAACTGTAGAGAGTGAGTTGAGCATAGTTTGTGATTTTGAGGGCCTCTAAAAGTATTAGGGCAGCAGAAGCGGCTGCATGGAGACATGATGGCCAACCTAAAACAGTAAGGTCAAGTTGTTTGGACAAAAAGGCTACAGGACGCGATCCTGGTCCTTATGTAAGAATTCTGACTGCACAGCCCTGCACTTCAGCTGTGTGTAATGAAAAGGGTTGGGATGAGTCAGGGAGAGCTAGAGTGGGGGCAGTTTCTAAAGCTGTCTTCAAGGAACGGAAAGAGGAGTGGGGAAAGGATTTAGGATCTATGGGGTCAGCTAGGTTTCCTTTTGTGAGTTTATGTAATGGTTTTGTTAGGGTGGCAAAACCAGGTATCCAAAGGCGAAAGTATCCAACCATGCCCAGGAAGGAAAGGAGTTGTTGTTTTGTAGAAGGGGTTGGGGTTTGAGAGATCAGTCGGACACGATTGGCAGGCAGAGCACGTGTGTTTTTATGAGAATTATGCCGAGATAGGTAACAGATGAGGAAGAAATTTGGGCTTGATTGAAGTAATGGGGGCTGTCTGTGAAGCTTTGCGGCAGTACAGCCTAGGTAATTTGCTGAGCTTGATGGGTGTCAGGGTCAGTCCAAGTGAAAGCGAAGAGAGGCTGGGATTAAGGATGCAACGGAATAGTAAAGAAAGCATGTTTGAGATCTAGAACAGAATAATGGGTTGTAGAGGCAGGTATTTAGGATAGGAGAGTATATGGGTTTGGCGCCACGGGGTGCATAGGCAAAACAATTTGGTTGATAAGGTGCAGATCCTGAAATAACTTGTAAGGCTTGTCTGGTTTTAGGACAGGTAAAATGGGGGAATTGTAAGGAGAGTTTATAGGCTTTAAAAGGCCATGCTCTAGCAGGTGAGTGATAACAGGCTTTAATCTTTTTAAAGCGTGCTGCGGGATGGGATATTGGCGTTGAGTGGGGTAAGGGTGATTAGGTCTTAATGAGATGGTAAGGGGTGCATGATCGGTCGCCAAGGAGGGAGTAGAGGTATCTTATACTTGTGGGTTAAGGTGGGGGGATACAAGAGGAAGACACAAAGGAGGCTTTGGATTGGGAGGAAGGGCGGCAATGAGATACAGATGTAGTCCAGGAATAGTCAGGGAAGCAGATAATTTAGTGAAAGTGTCTCAGCCTAATATGGGAACTGGGCAGGTGGGGATAACTAAAAAGGAGTGCTTAAAAGAGTATTGTCTAAGTTGGCACCAGAGTTGGGGATTTTAAGAGGTTTAGAAGCCTGGCCGTCAATACCCACAACAGTTATGGAGGCAAGGGAAACAGGCCCTTGAAAAGAAGGTAATGTGGAGTGGGTAGCCTCCGTATTGATTAAGAAGGGGACGGGCTTACCTTCCACTGTGAGAGTTACCCGAAGCTCGGCGTCCGTGATGGTCTAGAGGGCTTCCGAGGCCATCGGGCAGTGTCAGTCTTCAGCAGCTAAGCAAAGAAGATCTGGGAAGGAGTCAGTCAGAGAGCCTTGGGCCAGAGTTCCAGGGGCTCTGGGAGTGGCTGCCAGGTGAGTTGAACAGTCTGATTTTCAGTGGGGTCCCACACAGATGGGACGCGGCTTAGGAGGAATCCCGGGCTGCAGGCATTCCTTGGCCCAGTGGCCAGATTTCCGGCACGTGTAGCAAGCTCCTGTGGGAGGAGGTTCTGGAGGAACGCCTGGTCGCTGCGGTTCAGGTGTTTGGAAGTTCTTGTGTGCTGGAGATGTGGCTGGGGTTTGTTTCACAGTGGAGGCAAGGAATTGCAACTTTTTTCTATTATTGTACACCTTGAAGGCGAGGTTAATTAAATCCTGTTGTGGGGTTTGAGGGCCGGAATTTAATTTTTGGAGTTTTATTTAATGTCGGGAGCAGATTGGGTAATAAAATGTATTTTGAGAATAAGACAGCCTTTTGACCTTTTAGAGTCTAAGGCTGTAAAGTGTCTCAGGGTTGCTGCCAAATGAGCCATGAACTGGGCTGGATTTTTATATTTGATGAAAAAGAGCCTAAACGCTATCTGATTTGGGATAAAGAAAAAGGAACATTAACCTTGACTATGCCTTTGGCTCCAGCCACCTTTTTAAGAGTAAATTGCTGGGCAGGAAGGGGAGGGCTAGTCACAGAACGAAACTGTAAGCCGGACCAGGTGTGAGGAGGGGAGGTGATAAAAAGATTATAGGGTGGAGGAGCAGAGGCTGAGGAAGAATTGGGACCTAGCTCGGCCTGGTGAGGAGCAGCCTGGGGAGGAAGGGAGAAGTCAGATGGGTCTGTAGAAAAGGAAGATTAGAAAGACTCAGCGACGCTTGGGATTGGTACTGAGGGGACAGGCGAGAGGGAAAGAAGGAAGATTTGGGACGAGTTGCACTGGGCACAGAGACTAGGAAGGGACTGATGTATAAAAGAATGCCTGGATGTCAGGCACCGCAGACCATTTGCCTATTTTACGACAAGAATTATTTAGATCTTGCAGGATGGAAAAATTCAAAGTGCCATTTTCTGGCTATTTGGAACTACTGTCGAGTTTGTATTGGGGTCAAGCGGCATTGCAGAAGAAAATAAGGCATTTTAGGTTTTAGGTCAGGTGTGAGTTGAAGAGGTTTTAAGTTTTTGAGAACACAGGCCAAGGGAGTAGAAGGAGGAATGGAGGGTGGAAGGTTGCCCATAGTGAAGGAAGCAAGCCTAGAGAAAAGAGAGAGTAGAGAAATGGAGGGAAGGGGTTCAGGGGTTCTTACCTTCCAGAAAAGTGGGAAAAGGGGTTGGGGCACAGAGATAACAGGTCAGGGCATGGAAATAAGGGATGGGGCACAGAAATAAGAGGTTGGGG
This sequence comes from Homo sapiens, assembly GCF_000001405.40. Taxonomy (NCBI): domain Eukaryota; kingdom Metazoa; phylum Chordata; class Mammalia; order Primates; family Hominidae; genus Homo; species Homo sapiens. The sequence continues at coordinate 171,511 of NW_015148967.1, read as the reverse complement.
CACAGAAATAAGGGATTGGGGCACAGAGATGTAAGAGGTTGGGGTGCAGAAATAAGGGATTGGGGTGCAGAGATATAAGAGGTTGGGGCTCAGAAATAAGGGATTGGGGCGCAGAGATGTGAGGTTGGGGCGTGGAAATAAGGGATTGGGGGTTCTTGCCCCATAGAAAAGCGGGACTTGCCGCTAAGGGTGAAGGAGAGGGGTTGAGGGGTACTTGCCCCTCCCCTAGAAAAGCAGAGAAGGGGTAGAGACAAGGAGAGAAGGGGTTGGGGTACTTGCCCCTTCCCCAGAAAAGCGGGACTTGCCGCTAAGGGTGAGAGACCAAGGCAGGTGTCCCTGCGTGGTCTGACATCTTTGAAACGTGGGTGAATAATCAGAGAGGCATCCCTGAAATGACTAAACACCAAGGGAAGCCTGCCTTCGCAGTCTGTGACCGGTGCCACAGTTTTGGGTCCATGGATAAAACGTGTCTCCTTTGTCTCTACCAGAAAATGAAAGGAATTGAAATTAAGAGAAGGGAGCGATTGAAGTGTGGCGCCAAGATTGAAAGGAGAAACAGGTTGAGGGATAGTGAGGGAGGTTGGAGAAGAGTAAAAAGAGGCCGCTTACTGGATTTGAAATTGGTGAGATGTTTCTTGGGCTGGTCGGTCTGAGGACCTGAGGTGGTAGGTGGATCTTTCTCACGGAGCAAAGAACAGGAGGACAGGGGATTGATCTCCCAAGGGAGGTCCCCCTATCTGAGTCACGGCACCAAATTTCATGCACTTCCGTGTGAAGAGACCACCAAACAGGCTTTGTGTGAGCAATAAAGCTATTTATTTCACCTGGGTGCAGGTGGGCTGAGTCCGAAAAGAGAGTCAGCGAAGGGAGATAAGGGTGGAGCTGTTTTATAGGATTTGGGTAGGTAAAGGAAAATTACAGTCAAAGGGGGTTTGTTCTCTGGCGGGCAGGAGTGGGGGTTGCAAGGTGCACAGTGGGGGTGCTTTTTGAGCCAGGATGAGCTAGGAAAAGGACTTTCACAAGGTAATGTCATCACTTAAGGCAAGGACCAGCCATTTACACTTCTTTTGTGGTGGAATGTCATCAGTTAAGGTGGGGCAGGGCATATTCACTTCTTTCGTGATTCTTCAGTTACTTCAGGCCATCTGGGCTTATACGTGCAAGTCACAGGGGATGCGATGGCTTGGCTTGGGCTCAGAGGCCTGACAGCTAGTATTGGGTTTTTGAGTAATTTCCTATAATGTGTACTCATTTTTGAACAATGCTTTCTTAATATGATCTTTATGTAAGAACAGAGCCAAACAAGGGTATAATAAAGAGGAATTCTCAGGCACCACCTTAATTCATTTCTAGTTATGAACACTGGGTCTTGTGATGGCACTGTTTTAGTTCTTGTAGCAGGGTTAGTTGTACTTCATGGTCTTCTTTTCTAAAATACATTCATTCTTATCATTTAATATTGACCAACTATCATTTTGTCTTTTCCATCCTGATGCCTAAATTTATTTACTCTTTTCTATTCCCTTTTATTCTTGCTTGCAAAATGGCTAATGCTTTGCTTAGCTATAAGTTTCTTATAATGCCTTGTCAAACACAGCAAAGAGCAAAAATTATGTGCTACCAACAAGCTATTTTAACCTCCTGTTACCCACCAATCCTGGGTAAATTAGCTGTATCATATGTTTTCCAGTTCTTTGCTGGTGTATTGCACTAAATATTTTCCACTACAAAATTTGGATACTGTCTCATACCCTGATGATATATATTTTTTCTCACTACCTACTGCTGAACCCCTAAAACAATTCTACAAATATTTGATTTTAGTTTTTGAGGCAGTACCCCAGTCATAAGTACTAATTTCTATTACAGAATGGACTAAATTATGCTGCTTTAAGATATTGACACTTATTTTCTAATACCTCACCAATATTTATTCTCATTTGTATTTTTTCTAATTTTAGTTGAATATTTACAATTTTCTTTTTTATGGAGTTAATTTTTATGTCAAAGTTTTAACTGTTTTTCTTTATAATTTCTTACATAACTTTTCTGCTTATAAACCCCTTGCATTTTTATTTTGGATTAATATTCATCTATATGTTGCTCTACTTATTAGGCTATTTTATTACTTATAAAATAATTATTGGAAAACAACAATGACTAAAAAAACTCATCTTATTTTTTAAATTAATATAATTCATTTTTTAGAGAAGTTTTAAGTTTACAGAAAAAAATTAACAAAAAGTACAAGGGTTCCCAAATGCCCCCTCTGATTTTCCTGATTATTAACGTCTTCCATTACTGTGGTACATTCATTATAATTGATCAAGCAATATTGATACATTATTAATAACAAAAATGTATATTTTATTTTGTGGTTTGCACCTTGTTTTGTAGAGTTCTGTGGGTTTTCCCCAATACATAAAGTCCTTTATCTGTCATTACACTGTCATACAAATAGTTTCACTGCCCCCAAAATCCTGTGTTCTGCCTGTTCATTCCATTCTCTGCTCAAGATCCTGGCAACTACTCATGTTTTTACTGTCTCTTTAGTTTTGCCTTTTCCAGAATGTCATATAGTTGGAGTTATATAGTATGTAGCCTTTTCAAATAGGGCTCTTTCACACAGCAGCATGCATTTAAAGTTTCCTTAATTCATTTCATGAGTAGATTTCTTTCTTTCGCTAAATAATATTCTGTCCTATGGATGCCCCACAATTTGCTTCTAAGTTTTAGCAATTAGGAATAAAGCTGCTTTAAACATTTGGGTGCAATTTTTTTGTATGGACACAAGTTTTCAACTCGTTTGAGAAAATACCAAAGAGTGTGATTACTGGAACATACGGTAAGACTCTTTAGCTTCATAAGAAACTGCTAGACTGTCTTTAAAAGTAGCTGTACCATTTTGTATTTGCACAAGCAATGAATGCGAGTTCCTGTTGCTCCACAACCTGGACAGCAATTCGTGTTGTCAGCATTTTGGATTTTAGCCATTCTAATAGGTGTGTCGTGATATCTTATTGTGGTTTTAATTTGCAATTCATTTCCCTTATCATATACTGATTTGCCATTTATAGATCTTCTTTGATAAAATGTCTGGCCCTGTATTTTGCCCATTTTTTAATTAAAATGTTTTCCTTACTGTTCAGTTTTAAGAGTTATTTGTATATTTGGATAAAAGTTCTTTATTAGATATGTGTTTTGCAAATATTTTCTCCCAGCCTGTGGCTTAACTTTGCATTCTCTAAACACTGTCATTAGGAGAGTGGAAGATTTTATTTTGATAATGTCCAAATTACCTGATCTTTTTCCTGTATAGTGTTTTGGTGTTATATATAAAATATCACCTCTAAACTCAAGGTTACCTAGATTTTCCCTATGTTATGTAGAAATTTTATAATTTTGCATTTTAAATTTAGGCATATGGTCCATTTTGAGATAATTTGATATGTGTAAGGTCTGTTTCTAGATTCCTTTTTTTAAATCATGTGCATGTCTAGTTGTTCCAGCATTATTTTTCTTTTCAGCATCTTTTTTCCATTGGATTGTCTCACTTTATTCATCAAAAATCATTTGACAATGTATGTGAGGGTTGATTTGGGGACATTTTATTCTGTTCCACTGATTGATTGATTTATTCTTTCACCAATAACACCATGTCTTTATTATCATAGCCTCATATGAGTCTTAAAGTTGGGTAGTGTCAGTCCTCTGGCTGTCCTTTGCTGTTGTGTTGGCTCTTCTGAATCATTTCCCTTTAATATAAACTTTAGAATCACATTGTCAATATCCATAAAATAAATCCATAAAATAATTTGTTAAGATCTTGCTTGATATTGCATTGTATCTTTAGGCTAAGTTGGGACAACCTGACATATTAACAATATTGAGTCTTTCTGTTCACGAACTTGAAACATCTTCATTTATTTAAATCTTCTTTTATTTCTTTCAACAGAGTTGTGTAGTTTTCCTTGTATAGATCGTATACATATTTTGTCAGATTTATACCGCAGCGTTTGCATTTTTGGTGCTAAATTTTAATGATATGTTTTTAATTTCAAAGTTCATTTTTTTCTTACTGATAAACAGGAAGGCAATTGACTTGTGTGTATTAACTTTGTATATTGAAACTTTGCCAAAATTACTTATTAGTTTCAGTAGGTTTTTTAAAATTCTTTGACAATTCTTACATAAATAATTATATCATATGTGAACAAAGATGTTTATCCCTCCTTTCTCATTGATATATCTTTTATTTTCTTTTCACGATTTTCTGCATTGTCTAGGACTTCCAGTAGGATGTTGAATAGTAGTTATGAGAGAGGACATTCATGCTTTGTTCTTATCTCAGTGTGAAAGCACTTAGTTTCTCACCATTAAGGGTGATGTTAGCTGTAAATTTTTTGGTATATGTTTTCATGCCAAAGAATCTCCACTCTGCTCTTTGTGTTTCTTAAGAGTTTATCATAAATGGCTATTGGATTTTGTCAAATCCTTTTTCTACATCTATTAATACAATAGCATGGGATTGCATGTTTTTTTCCTTTAGCCTGTTGATGTGGTGAATTACATAAATGGATTTTTGAAAAACTTAACCAGTCTTGCATACTGACATAAATCTCAATTGTTCATAGTGCATAATTCATAATGCTTACATTTTGTTGAGGATATTTATGCCTAGGTGTATGAGAAATATTGGTCTGTAATACACATTTCTTATAAGGTTTTTGTCTGGTTTTGATATTAGGGTAACATTGGCTTCATAGTATGAGTTAGGATGTATTTCAATTGCTTCTATTTTCTGCAAGATATTGTGGAGAATCAGTATTATTTCTTGCCTAAAATTTACCAGTGAATCCATTAAGACCTGGCTTTTTCTGATTTGGTTATTAAACATTGGCTTAACTTCTCCTATTATCTGTTTGTTTTTGTGTGAGTTTTGGCAGATTGTGTCTTTTGAGGAATCGTCCATTTCATCTAACTGTGGTCATAGAGTGTTTCTTAATATTCCTTTATTATTCTTGAAATGTCCATGAAATCATAGTGGTGATGGCCCCACTTTCATTTCTGCTAAAAATTTGTATATTCTCTCTTTTTTTAGGGGGGTGGGGGTAGCCTGACTAAAGGATTATCAATTTTATTATTTTTTCAAAGAAACAGGTTTAATCTGTTTCTATTGGTTATCTGTTTTTAATTTAATTGATTTCTAGTCTAATTTATAAATTATTTTATTCTGCTTACTTTGGATTTAATTTTATTTCTTTCTAGTTTTATAAGATAAAAACAAGTTTTTAATCTTTCTTATTTTCAAATAAATGCATTCAATGCTATAAAATTCCCTCTAAGTACTGTTTTTACTGTATCGCACAAATACTGACATTTTGATTTTATTTTCATTTAGTTCAAACTATTTTAACCATACATTATTTAGAAGTGCAATTTTTAGGCTGGGCACAGTGGATGGTGCATGTAATCGCAGAAGTCTGGGAGGTCAAGGAGAGAGGATTGCTTGGGGCCAGGAATTCAAGACCAGCCTGGGGAACATAGTGAGACATCATCTTTCCAAAAAATAATTTTAAAAAATTAGTTGTGCATGGTGACATATGCCTGTAGTCCTGGCTACTGGAGAGCCTGAAGCAGGAAGATTGCCTCAGCCAAGGAGTTCCAGGTTATACTGAGCTATAATTGTGCCTCTGCACTCCAGCCTGGGTGACAAAGCAAGACTCCTCTGTCTCTACAAAATTAAAAACAAAGGCCGGTGCGGTGGCTCACGCCTGTAATCCCAGCAATTTGGGAGGCCGAGATGGGCGGATCACGAGGTCAGGAGATTGAGGCCATCCTGGCTAACACGGTGAAACCCCGTCTCTACTAAAAATACAAAAAAAATTAGCCAGGAGTGATGGCGGGCACCTGTAATCCCAGCTACTCCAGAGGCTGAGGCAGGAGAATGGCGTGAACCCGGGAGGCGGAGCTTGCGGTGAGCCGAGATCGCGCCACTGCACTATAGCCTGCGACTGAGCGAGACTCTGTCTCAAAAAAAAAAAATAATAATAATAATAATTAAAAAATGCAATTTTATCTTATACATAATTTTGGTTTTTTTTTCCAATCTAGTTTAATTTTGTTGTGATATGAGGTTAAACTTTGTATGATTTTAATTTTTAAACATTTGTTAGGTGTGTTTTATGGCCTAAAATTTAAACTATCTTTGTGAATGACTCATGTGATCTTGAGAAGAAAGTGTATCTTGCTGTTGTTGGATGAAGTGGTCAACAAATGGTAATTAGATCCAATTAATGATAGTGTTCCTCATTTCATTTACATCCCTCCTGATTTACTGACTGCTGAATTAGGTTTGTGTGGAAATTTCCCACTGTAATAGTGGATTTCTGATAGTAATAGTGGACTGCTGATAGGTTTGTGTTGAAATTTCCCACTGTAATAGTGGATTTCTGATAGTAATAGTAGACTGCTGATAGGTTTGTGTTGAAATTTCCCACTGTAATAGTGGATTTCTCCTTAAACTTACATAATGTTTACCTCACATATTTTGATGCTCTATTCTTAGGTACACATACATTAAGGATCATTATGTCTTCTAGATTTGACTTCTTTATCAATATCTAATGCTCCTTTCCATCTCTGATCATTTCTTTTGCTGTAGGCTAGCTTTTGTCTGAAATGAATATAACTAATCCAGTTTTCCACTGGCCAATCTTAGCATACTATATCTTTCTTTACTTTCAATCTATGTGTCCTTGTATTTAAAGCATGTTTCTTCAGCCAGGCATGGTAGCTCAAACCTGTAATCCCAGCACTTTGGCAGGCCGAGGCAGGTGGATTGCTTGAGTCCAGGAGTTTGACAGCGGGCTGGGCAACATGGTGAAACCTCATCTCTACAAAAAGTGCAAAAATTGGCCTGTGTGGTGGAGCTTGTTGCGTCCTGTGGTTTTAGCTGAGGAAGATCGCTTAAGCCTGAGAGATCCAGGGTGCAGTGAGCAGTGATTGTGCCACTGCACTCCAGCCTGGGTGACACTGTGAGACCCAAATTGAGACCCTGTCAAAAGAAAAGAAAAAGAGAAGGACTAGTTGGGTGTTGATTTTTTATTTTTAATTAAGAAATAATAACTACATATATTATGCCGTATAATGTGCTATTTTGATATATGTATACATTGCATAATGATTAAATCAAGCTAATGAACATATTTTGGTAACCATCATTCTACTCTACTTCTATGAGTTCAACTTTTTTAGATTCCACAAGTAAGTGAGATCATGAGGTATTTGTATTTTTGTGCTTGACTTATTTCACTTAGCATAATGTCCTCTAGGTTCATACACATCGTCACAAATCACAGAATTTCCTTCTTTTTTGAGAATAAATAGTATTTCACTGTGTATATATACATACCATTTTGTTATTTTTAAAAATGCATTATTATAGTCTTTGTCTTTTATCTGGAGTACCTAAACCATTCACAGTTTATAAGATTACTAACAGACATAGTTGGTTTATCATACCTTATTTTTAACTATTTCTGATCATTCACTTTTTTCTTTTTTTCTTCTTCCACTTTCTTTCTTTCTACAGGATTCTATTTATCCTCCTTTCTTAGCATATCAGTATACTTATTTTAAAAACAGACATTCAATGCTTGCCCTAGAGCATAAAAGATGGATTACAACTAATAAATCTAGGTTCAAATAACACTATAATATTTCACTGGTAGCACAGTTACTTATAGATGTATTTCCAGTTCCTCTCTTGCATCTTTTATAAAATTGATATCTTTCATTTTATTTATGCATAAGCTATAATCCCCAAATACTTTGCTATTACCATGTTGAACTAACATAATTATGAAGAAGTGAGAAGTATATTGGGTATAAACATCCCTTTGGAAGTCTCTAAGTTTTGAGCAGCTTAACAACTTGTCTCAGCAAGCAAATTGATGACTATGTACTAACATGATGATATACTTTTAAATGGTCTTAGTCATCTCACCATTCTATCCAGCAACATCAAACATCTACAACCCACCTTATTTCTTAATACTATGGAATGTATATTTATGATTTAAGTTTTTTTAAATGAAGTTTTTTCTCTTGGTTTACTAGTAAGAGCATTCAATGCATCCAAGTTTCCTTGCCTTACCTCAAAGTATTGCTTTGATTATTTCTTTCCAAAAAGAAATATAATCTTTAATAAAATAGGAAAATATTTCCAATAAGCTTATTTATATAATTTATTTTAGTGATGTGTAATGAAGTGATGAATTTAAAATTAGTTATCACCTTTAAAATTCAGTACTGAATGCATAAAATGTACTTGCAGTGAAATAAAGTTAGGTGTGATTCTTAGGCATTTCTGAGTTTTTCTAATTTTTTAAAAAATCAGAACATGAACATATTTCTCAAGATAACTGAGAAAAGGTAATGCAGAATATGGTCACAAGTTAGGAGCTATTCATAGCAATGAAAACTCCTTACTCTATAAAATAATCACTTTTGTGTTCATTTTCATTTTTCGTAGAATCTGATAGTTTGTTGTTTTTTTTTAAGCTACATTTTGCAGACAAATCATTGGAAAAATGTCCTGTTTTATCTATAAACCTAAGAACTACAGAAGTAGACTGAAAATTGTCAGATAATTTTTTTTCAAAAACCTGTATGGTTTTTATATTCTGATACAACTTGAAATGCAATGTAATCTTTCCCATAAAATATCCAGAAAATTTGAAGTTTTTGGTAACCAAAAAATGAATATGGAAGAAAACTTTAACAAATAAGTATTCTATTTTACTTTTTATCTATTTTCAGTAGGTTGAAAGTGCATTTCAAAATTATTCAACTCCGTCTCTTTGAAATTCTAGCTTACATTTGGTTTTGGGGGATGATATTTCTACTTTGATGCTAGGAAATATAAAAATATGTATCATTCAGATAAGTATCTCATAAATCATTTTGTGTAAATACTCCCAATGATAGCAATACATAGTATGAGTGAACTTAGCAAGTTTTAGTGCCTTTTTGTTTCAAGATTTTATAAAATTAAAATGGTAAATGAAATAATGTCAAAAATATTGTCTTACTGTAGAATGTTGTATGGAAAATTAAACAATAGCAACGAAGCAAGACCCAGCTACCCTGAGCCAAGGAAACAATGTCATCAGGATCAGTGATAGCAAATTAACTACAGAGTAGAATATATGCTTATAATAAAAAATAATTATTATTTTATTTCTGTAGTCCATGACACAGAATCAGCTCATACAGTGAGATATCATTAAGTTTAAATTAATCTTTTGGATTCTTTAATAATGAAAATCTGTTTTAGTGTAAAATCTCATAAAAATTAAACAATACATAGGCAAACTGTTTAACACAGTGTCTGTAACCGATATTGTTTAGTGATAATTTGTTAGAACGCTACCATTTTATGGCAAATATTTTTTCTCTAATTTTTCTCCACAGTAAGAGACAAATATATTTTTAATTTACAAATATAATTTGTTCATTGAAGAAAAATCGAACCAATTTAGTAAAAAAGAAAAAAGTATTCTGCCAACGCAAGTCACTTTATAGTAATAATGAATATTTAACACCATTTTTAAATGCAGAAGAAGCTCTCACAATCTACTCTTTGAGAATCTAATTTTGGTCTTCTGAAATTAGAAAAGTATAAATGAATAGTGCATTTGTGGTTTATCAATTACATTACTCTGTTGTTTTTGGCAACTTTACCCAGTATGTGTCACAGCTCTCCTGCCTTAGAAATCCCAGAAAAAAATTTAATGCATATTTTATGCATATGGTTTTGATCTCTCTTTTTCTTTTCTTTTTTCCTTTTTTTTTTTTGGCATTTATGAAAAAAGAAATAACAGATTTTTCCTAAATATATCTAGTTTTCTTGCCTAGGCACACAGAAAAATTATATTTTCCAGCATCTATTCTTTCTTTTCATGCAGTTAGGTGGAGACGTCTGACAAATTTCTGCTTAATAAAATATGAGAAGAATGGATATATGGTACAATCAAATTTGTTTTGTAATATCTTCCTCACACCATACTTCATTTCCCTTTTTTTCCACATGGGCTATAACCTCTTGGGCCACATAAGAAGGAGATCAGCTACAGAAGATTAAAAGATGGACTGGGTATGATTTTCTAATGGCAACCATATTGGATTGTGATATAAGCGACTGATCAACCTCCAGTGTTAAAATCTTATTTATTTCTTGATGCAGTAGCTAGCCTTATACACCCAAAACCTATAATCTTGTTTAATTTACATAAATTATATGCAGTGTAATAGAATGTAATTCATTGAAATTGAACTTTAATAATTTAATATTTTAAGAAAAGTTAAGTGAGAGTAAAAACATTTAGTTTTTGTTAATATATTTTATATAATACTATAACCCCCAAAAACATGTTAGCTTACAATCAGTGTTTTCGGTACTTGTTATACAGACATGTCATGCAGAAATTTTACTTTGACCACTCTCCTTAAGTATGATAACTCATAGGTAAACACATATTGAGTTTGCTGTTCTGCTTATATCTTATCTAACAGAGAAGTCATTTTGAGGATTATGTAAAATAAAGAGTAAATATAAAACATTCTCTTACATAATTTTAAATAATTTAATTAAAATATAAGATATAGCCTAGGAAACACTTTTGGTGCATTTTTAAAGTTTGACATGTTCAGTAATAAGTAATTATAATTATTTTATACACTTGAATGTTATCTTTAGCCTACAAAAGTACTATAGATGAGTCTATAGTATTATAGATTTAGCCTACACAAAGAGATTTGGCCTACAAAATTGCTATACATGCTATAGATGAGTCTCATTACCAAATCAAGTATCATTTATTCTTAAAATATCATTTACAGAGACTAAAGTTAAGAAATTTTAAAATTTGTTATATAGAAAATAATATGGGTCTTTGCTGTGAAAAATAAGATTGTGATATATTGTATGTGTAGAAATTAATCATATATAGGTGAGGAAATGGTTTTAATGGTAGTAAAGCACTAGTCGTTTCAGTAGGGTTTCTCTTTTCCAGAAGGTTTATAAATGTAATTTTTAGTCATCATGATTCTGTAATTGTAATTGTTATATATGGAATACAAGATATTTCCAATTTTATAATGTTACTTTGCTCACAAATAAAATACCAATATAGATGTAAATCTACTCCAGACCATTATGGTATAAATGTTCACTAAAGGCAGTATAATCTACTCAGTCATATTTGTTGTGTCTAACATAAAATATTGCTTTATATATGTTACAAATTATAAATATGATACATTGAAATTTATTTGTAAAGACATCAAAAGTACTTGTCAGATATATTTCACAGACAATTTTGTGGCAATCAGGGCAAATGGGATTGTATCTTAATTAGAAAGGGAAACAGATAGCGTGGTCTAATTTAAAAACAACGCTCCATAGGAAAAAAAAAAAAAACTGGATCTTGCACCATGCAATTAGGCATATTTCCATCAGTAGAATGGTTCTAAAAATTGATCTCAGGCACTGGTAAAATGATCATTCTTGAACATAAGCATCAGCCAAGAAAATCTTCTGCTACAAGTAATACAGAGAATAAAAACTATATAAATCCTTATTTACCTTCCAAAAAATAGGTTTTTCTTACAATTCAGAGAGATTTGTAAAAAAAAATCTTTTGCTTTCACACTTTACTATGAACATGAAGCCTAATTATAATATTGTCTCTCTTTCTATTTGAATGTGTCAGTTTTTATATTATGACTTTCACACCTTTACAAGCTAAGATTAAATAGCCATGTCATCTTAGACCACCTGGCAACTAAACTGTGAAAATTAATTTCAATTTCACCTAAGCTCAGCCCCATGCTGTTTTTCTATTACTCCCATACCAGGATATCTGTGACTTTTGCCTACCAAATGGCTTATTTATTTTTATAGAAAATACTCTAAAGAATTGTGGTGACAAACTCTCTTTTACTTCAGTATAACTTTAATAAACATATTTTATGTTTGATGGAAGGGTATTATGAAATGATTTTTCTAGTTTCTCACTACTATTTAATGAAAAACCTATTAATTATAAATATTAAACTTAAAAGTGTTTAGGTTAGCTTGCAACATGTGTAGTAATATTGTATAATAAATTTATAAATGCCTTTTGTAACTATTTAGTATTTTTAGAAAAAAAAGTGTTTCAAAATAAGTAAGACAAAAACTGACAAAACTCAAAGAAGAAATAGAAAATAAAAATCACATTTGGGGATTTAATAGTACTGTCTTTATTAATTAAAATAACAAAACCAGATTATGATATTACAAGTAAACTACAGTCTAATATGAGTTTGTTCATATGTGTGTATATTTATATGTATCTATATATGTACATACTGCATGTATAAACTTTTTATAAAATACAATTAGGATTCACCAATGCATAAAAATGATAGCACATCATGACCAAGTAGACTTTATCCCATAAATTCAATAACAATTTCACTTTGAAAATCAATTCACTCCATCATATTAACCAAATAAGTGAGAAAAAGTTATCATTTCTCTAAATGCAAATAAATCACCTAATAAAATCCAACATTATCTAGATAAAAGTTTTCTTCAAACTAGGACAAGAAAAGAATTCCCTTAACCACATAAAAAGGAGCTTAAATAAAACAAGCAAAGAATCTAGAGCTAATATTATGTTTAACAATAAATATAAAATGCTTTTCTCTGAAAATCAAGAACAAGGCAAGGGTAAACATCTAAACTTCTTCTCATTTCTACCTAATGTTATACTATGATCCTAGACAATGCAATGAGAGAGACAGATAGAGAAAGAGAGAATGCAGATTGAAACAAAGCAATAAACCTCCTTTATTTGATTTGAGGATATGATCAAGTATGCAGAAAATCCTAAGGAACCTACCAAATATGAGATTTGCTAAGCTCAAATCTAGTATAATCTTAGCGAATTCTAAGATGCTAGGTCAGTATGCAAAAATCAATTATATGTAATATAAGCAATTGGAAATATATTTTTAAATCAAAATATGAAGTTTTATAAATACATTTTACTATATATGTGCAAGATCTGTGAAATGAAAAACCACAAAATATTGCTGTGAGAAAGTAACAAATACCAAAATAAACAAAGAGATATACCTTGTTATTGAATTGGAAGAGTTGATGTGGTTAACACATTCTTTCTCCTCAAGTCAATCTGTAGATTACTTTCAATGCCAATCAAAATCCCAGGAAACTTCTTTAGAAATAGACAAGATTATTCCAAAATGCATATGGAAATACTGAGAACATAGTATAGTCTACTTTCTCCTCAAGTCAATCTATGGATTACCTTCAATGCTGATCAAAATCCCAGCAAACTTCTATAGAAATAGACAGGATTATTCCAAAATATATATGGAAATTCTAGGAACATAGTATAGTCAAAGCAATTTTGAAAACAAAGAACAAATTTAGAGAACTAACACTGTCTATTTAATTGGAATACTATAAAACTACAGTAATCAAGACAATGTGGTATTGGTATAAAGATAGACATATGAATGAATGGAGCAGAAAAGAGAAATGGACGCACACTTACAGTCAGTTGATACCAAACAAATGTGTCTAAGTAATTTCATGAGATAGACTACTCTTTTTAACCAATTGTGCTGGA